>NC_000010.11:41693521-41916265 GCF_000001405.40 Homo sapiens | reverse complement strand
GAATTCCATTCCATTCCATTCCATTCCATTCTATTCCATTCCATTGCATTCCATTGCATTCCATTCCACTCGGGTTGTTTCCTTTCCATTCCATTCCATTAGTATCCGTTCCATTCCATTCCATTCATTCCATTCCATTCCATTCCACTCAGGTTGATTCAGTTCGATTCCATTCCAATCCATTCTACTTGATTCCATTGCATTGCATGCTGTTCCATTCCGTTCTATTCCATTCCAATCCATTCCACCCGGGTTGATTCCATTCCATTCCTTCCCATACCATTGCATTCGACTCGGGTGGATTCCATTCCATTCCATTCCACTCCATTCCATTGCATTCTATTCCACTGGTGTTTATTCCATTCCACTCCATTCCATTGCATTCCATTCCATTCCATTTCATTCCATTCCATTCCATTTCATTCCATTACTTTCCATTCCATTCCACTAGGGTTGACTCCATTGCATATCATTGCATTCCATTGCATTCCTTTCCTTTCCTTTCCATTCCATTCCTTTCCATTCCATTACTATCCACTCGAGTTGATACTATTCCATTCTATTCCATTCCATTCCATTCCATTCCATTCCATTCCCTTTGATTCCTTTCCAGTTTATTCCATTCAATTCCATTGCATTCCATTCCATTCCAATCGGGTTGATTTCATTCCATTCCATTCCATTCTAGTCCTTTCCATTCTATTCCATTCCATTCCAATCCATTCCATTCCATTCCATTCCATTCCTTTCCATTCCATTCCCTTCCATTCCATTCCATTCCACTGCTGTTTATTCCATTCCACTCCTTTCCATTGCATTCCATTCCATTCCATTCCATTCCATTCCTTTCCATTCCATTCCCTTCCATTCCATTCCATTCCACTGCTGTTTATTCCATTCCACTCCTTTCCATTGCATTCCATTCCATTCCATTTCATTCCATTCCATTCCATTCCATTCCACTCGGGTTGACTCCATTCCATACCATTCCATTCTATTGCATTCCATTCTGTCCGTTCCATTCCATTCCTTTCCATTCCATTCCTTTCCACTCGAGTTGATTCCATTACATTCTATTCCATTCCTTTCCATTCCATTCCATTCTATTCCATTCCATTCCATTCCATTCCAATCGTGTTTATTACATGCCATTCCATTCCATTCCATTCCATTCCATTCCATTCCAATTGGGTACATTCCATTCCGTTCCATTCCATTCCATTCCATTCCAATTGGGTAGATTCCATTCCGTTCCATTCCATTCCATTCCATTCCATTCCATTCCACTCGGGTTCTTTCCATTCCGTTCCGTTCCATTCCATTCCATTCCATTCTTTTCCATTCCATTCCATTCCATTCATTTCCATTCCATTCCATTCCACTCCACTCGGGTTGATTCCATTCCATTCCATTCCATTCCATTCCTTTAACTTCCATCCCATTCCATTCCAGTTCATTCCATTCCTTTCCATTCCATTCCATTCCCTTCCATTCAATTCCAGTCCATTCCATTCCATTGCATTGGAATCGGGTTGATTCCAATCCATTCCATTACATTCCAGTCCTTTCCATTCCATTACATTCCACTCGGTTTGTTTCCATTACATTGAATTCCATTCCATTCCATTCCATTCCATTCCATTCCATTCCATTCCATTCCATTGCATTCCATTGCATTCCATTCCACTCGGGTTGTTTCCTTTCCATTCCATTCCATTAGTATCCGTTCCATTCCATTCCATTCATTCCATTCCATTCCATTCCACTCAGGTTGATTCCGTTCGATTCCATTCCAATCCATTCTACTTGATTCCATTGCATTGCATGCTGTTCCATTCCCTTCTACTCCATTCCAATCCATTCCACCCTGGTTGATTCCATTCCATTCTTTCCCGTTCCATTGCATTCGACTAGGGTGGATTCCATTCCATTCCATTCCATTCATTCCATTCCATTCCATTTCGTTCCTTTGCAGTTGATGCCATTCCATTCCATTGCATTCCATTCCATTCCAATCGGGTTGATTTAATTCCATTCCATTCCATTCTATTCCATTCCATTCCATTTCTTTCCATTCCACTGCATTCCATTGCATTCCATTCCACTGGTGTTTATTCCATTCCACTCCATTCCATTGTATTCCATTCCATTCAATTTCATTCCATTCCATTCTATTTCATTCCATTACATTGCATTCCATTCCACTCGGGTTGACTCCATTCCATACCATTGCATTCCATTCCTTTCCTTTCCATTCCATTCCTTTCCATTACATTCCTTTCCAATCGAGTTGATTGTATTCCAGTCTATTCCATTCCATTTCATTCCATTCCATTCCTTTCCATTCCATTCCATTCCATTCCATTCCATTCCATTCCATTCCGTTCCCTTTGATTCCTTTCCAGTTGATTCCATTCCATTCCATTGCATTCCATTCCATTCCTATCGGGTTCATTTCATTCCATTCCATTCCATTCCATTCTAGTCCTTTTCATTCCATTCCATTCCATTCCAATCCATTCCTGTAAATTCCATTCCTTTCCATTCCATTCCACTGGTGTTTATTCCATTCCACTCTATTCCATTGCATTCCATTCCACTGTTTTTTATTCCGTTCCACTCCATTCCATTGCATTCCATTCCATTCCATTCCATTTCATTCCATTCCATTCCATTCCATTCCGTTCCATTCCATTCCACTCAGGTTGACTCCATTACACACCATTGCATTAAATTCCTTTCCTTTCCATTCCATTCCAGTCCATTCCTTTCCATTCCATTCCATTCCATTCCACTCGTGTTTATTCCATTCTATTCCATTCCATTCCACTCGGGATGATTCCATTCCATTCCATTCCATTCCATTTCACTCGGGTTCATTGCATTCCGTTCCGTTCCATTCCATTCCATTCCATTCCATTCCATTCATTTCCATTCCATTCCATTCCACTCCACTCGTGTTGATTCCATTGCGTTCCATTCCATTCCATTAAATTCCATTCCATTCCATTCCACTCCAGGTCATTCCATTCCTTTCCATTCCTTTCCATTCCCTTCCATTCCATTCCATTCTATTCCATTGCTTTCCATTCCGTTGCATTGGAATTGGGCTGATTCCAGTACATTCCATCTCATTGCAGTCCTTTCCATTCCACTACATTCCACTCGGTTTGTTTCCATTACATTGAATTCCATTCCATTCCATTCCATTCCATTCCATTGCATTCCATTGCATTCCATTGCATTCCATTCCACTCGGGTTGTTTCCTTTCCATTCCATTGCATTAGTATCCATTCCATTCCATTCCATTCATTTCATTCCATTCCATTCCATTCCATTCAGGTTGATTCCGTTCGATTCCATTCCAATCCATTCCATTCCATTCCATTCTAGTTGATTCCATTGCATTCCATGTTGTTCCATTCCATTTCACTCGATTCCAATCCATTCCACTCGGGTTGATTCCATTCCATTCCATGCCATTCCATTGCATTCCACTCGCGTTGATTCCATTCCATTCCAATCCATTGCATTCCATTCCATTCCATTTCATTCCTTTCCAGTTGATTCCATTCCATTCCAATCTGCTTGATTTCATTCCATTCCATTCCATTCCTGTCCATTCCATTCCATTCCCTTCCATTCCATTCCACTCCATTCCGTTGCATTCCATTCCATTCCATTCCATTCCATTCCATTCCATTCCACTGGTGTTTATTCCATTCCACTCTCTTCCATTGCATTCCATTCCTTTGTTGATTATTCCATTGCACTCCATTCCATTCCATTTCATTCCATTCCATTCCTGTCCATTCCATTCCCTTCCATTCCCTTCCATTCCACTGCTGTTTATTCCATTCCACTCCATTCCATTGCATTCCATTCCATTCCATTTCATTCCATTCCATTCCATTCCATTCCACTCGGGTTGACTCCATTCCATACCATTGCATTCTATTGCATTCCATTCTTTCCTTTCCATTCCATTCCTTTCCATTCCATTCCTTTCCACTCGAGTGGATTCCATTACATTCTATTCCATTCCTTTAAATTGCATTCCATTCCATTCCATTCCAATCCTGTTTATTACATGCCATTCCATTCCATTCCATTCTATTCCATTCCATTCCATTCCATTCCAATTGGGTAGATTCCATTCCATTCCATTCCATTCCATTCCATTCCATTCCATTCCATTCCATTTCATTCCATTCCATGTCATTCCATTCCACTCGGGTTGCCTCCATTCCATACCATTGCATTCTATTGCATTCCATTCTTTCCTTTCCATTCCATTCCTTTCCATTCCATTCCTTTCCACTCGTGTTGATTCCATTACATTCTATTCAATTCCTTTCCATTCCATTCCATTCCATTCCATTCCATTCCATTCCAATCGTGTTTATTACATGCCATTCCATTCCATTCCATTCCATTCCACTCCACTCGTGTTGATTCCATTCCATTCCATTCCATTCCATTCCATTAACTTCCATTCCATTCCATTCCATTGCAGTTCATTCCATTCCTTTCCATTCCATTCCATTCCATTCCCTTCCATTCCATTCCATTCCATTCGGTTGCATTGGAATCGGGTTGATTCCAATCCATTCCATTACATTGCAGTCCTTTCCATTCCATTACATTCCACTCGGTTTGTTTCCATTACATTGAATTCCATTCCATTCCATTCCATTCCATTCCATTCCATTCCACTCCTCTCCATTGCATTCCATTGCATTCCATTCCACTCGGGTTGTTTCCTTTCCATTCCATTCCATTAGTATCCGTTCCATTCCATTCCATTCATTCCATTCCATTCCATTCCACTCAGGTTGATTCCGTTCGATTCCATTCCATTCCATTCTAGTTGATTCCATTGCATTGCATGCCGTTCCATTCCGTTCTACTCCATTCCAATCCATTCCACCCGGGTTGATTCCATTCCATTCCATTCCATTCCATTGCATTCCACTCGGGTGGATTCCATTCCATTCCATTCCATTCCATTCCATTCCATTCCATTCCATTCCATTTCGTTCCTTTCCTGTTGATTCCCTTCCATTCCATTGCATTCCATTCCATTCCAATCGGGTTGATTTAATTCCATTCCATTCCATTCTAGCCCATTCCATTCGATTCCAATCCATTCCGTTCCATTCCATTCCATTCCTCTCCATTCCAATCCATTCCATTCCATTCCATTCCATTTCTTTCCATTCCCCTCCATTCCATTGCATTCCATTCCACTGGTGTTTATTCCATTCCACTCCATTCCATTGCATTCCATTCCATTCCATTCCATTCCATTCCATTCCATTCCATTCCATTCCATTACATTACATTTCATTCCATTACATTCCATTTCATTCCATTCCATTCCATTCCATTCCACTCGGGTTGACTCCATTCCATACCATTGCATTCCATTGCATTCCATTCGTTTCCTTTCCATTCCATTCCTTTCCATTCCATTCCTTTCCACTCGAGTTGATTCTATTCCATTCTATTCCATTCCATTCCATTCCATTCCATTCCATTCCATTCCATACCATTCCGTTCCCTTTGATTCCTTTCCAGTTGATTCCATTCCATTCCATTGCATTCCATTCCATTCCAGTCGGGTTGATTTCATTCCATTCCATTCCATTCTAGCCTTTCCATTCCATTCCGTTCCTGTCCATTCCATTCATGTCCATTCCATTCCGTTCCATTCCAGTCCACTGGTGTTTATTCCATTCTAGCTCTATTCCATTGCATTCCATTCCACTGTTTTTTATTCCGTTCCACTCCATTCCATTGCATTCCATTCCATTCCATTTCATTCCATTCCATTCCATTCCATTCCACTGGTGTTTATTCCATTCCACTCCATTCCTTTGCATTCTATTCCATTCCATTTCATTCCATTCCATTCCATTCCATTCCACTCGGGTTGACTCCATTCCATTCCATTGCATTAAATTCCTTTCCTTTCCATTCCATTCTAGTCCATTCCTTTCCATTCCATTCCATTCCATTCATTCCACTCGTTTTTATTCCATTCTATTCCATTCCATTCCACTCGGGATGATTCCATTCCATTCCATTCCATTCCATTCCATTCTACCCGGGTTGATTCCTTTCCATTCCATTCCATTCCATTCCATTCCATTCCATTCATTTCATTCCTTTCCAATTGATTCCATTCCATTCAATTGCATTCCATTCCATTCCAATCGGGTTGATTTCATTCCATTTTATTCCATTCCATTCCATTCCATTCCATTCCATTCCATTCCATTCCTGTCCATTCCATTCCATTCCATTCCATTCCATTCCATTCCATTCCATTCCATTGGTGTTTATTCCATTCCACTCCATTCCGTTGCATTCCATTCCATTCCATTTCATTCCATTCCATTCCGTTCCATTCCAATCCACTCGGGTTGACTCCATTCCATACCATGGCATTCTGTTGCATTCCATTCCTTTCCTTTCCATTTCATTCCTTTCCATTCCATTCCTTTCCACTCGAGTTTATTCCATTACATTCTATTCCATTCCATTGCATTCCATTCCATTCCATTCCATTCCATTCCACTCGTGTTTATTCCATTCCATTCCATTCCATTCCATTCCATAACATTCTACTAGGGTAGATTCCATTCCATTCCATTCCATTCCATTGCTTTCCATTCCACTCGGGTTCATTCCATTCCGTTCCGTTCCATTCCATTCCATTCCATTCCATTCATTTCCATTCCATTCCATTGCACTCTACTCGGGTTGATTCCATTCCATTCCATTCCATTCCATTAAATTCCATTCCATTCCATTCCATTCCAGTTCATTCCATTCTTTCCATTCCATTCCAGTTCATTCCATTCCTTTCCATTCGATTCCATTCCATTGCGTTGGAATCGGGTTGACTCCAATCCATTCCATTACATTCCAGTCCTTTCCATTCCATTCCATTCCCTCGCTTTTTTTCCATTCCATTGAATTCCATTGCATTCCATTCCATTCCATTGCATTCCATTGTATTCCATTCCACTCTGGTTGTTTCCTTTCCATTACATTCTATTAGTTTCCATTCGGTTCCATTCCATTCATTCCATTCCATTCCATTCCATTCCATTCATTCCATTCCATTCCATTCCATTTCATTCCTTTCCAGGTGATTCCATTCCATTCCATTGCATTCCATTCCATTCCAATCGGGTTGATTTCATTCCATTCCATTCCATTCTAGTCCATTCCATTCCATTCCATTCCATTCCATTCCATTCCACTGGTGTTTATTCCATTCCACTCCATTCCATTGCATTCGATTCCATTCCATTCCATTCGATTCCATTCCATTCCATCCACTCGGGTTGACTCCATTCCATACCATTGCATTCCATTGCATTCCATTCCTTTCCATTCCATTCTATTCCTTTCCATTCCATTCCTTTCAACTCGGGTTGATTCCATTCCATTCTCTTCCACTCCATTCCATTCCATTCCATTCTATTCCATTCCATTCCATTCCACACGTGTTCATTTCATTCGATTCCATTCCTTTTCATTCCATTGCATTCCATTGCACTCGGGTTGTTTCCATTCCATTCCATTCCATTCTATTCCACTCGGGTTGATTCCATTCCATTCCATTCCAATCCATTCCACTCGGGTTGATTCCATTCCATTCATTTCCGTTCCATTCCTTTCCATTCCTATCCACTCGGTTTTATTCCATTCCATTCCATTCCATTCCATTCCATGCCGTTACAGTCCATTCCATTCCATTCCACTCGGGTTGATTCCACTCCATTCCATTGCATTCCATGCCGTTATATTCCATTCCATTCCATTCCATTCTATACCATTACATTGCACTCGAATTGATTCCTTTCTATTCCATTCCATTCCATTCCATTCCATTCCATTCCATTCCATTCCATGACGTTACATTTCATTCCACTCGAGTTGATTCCATTCAATTCCATTCCATTCCATTCCGTTCCATTCCATTCTACTCGGGGTCATTCCATTTCTTTCCATTCCATTCCATTCCATTCATTTCCTTTCCATTCCATTCGACTCCCCTCGGGTTGATTCCATTCCGTTCCATTCCATTCCATTAAATTCCATTGCATTCCAGTTCATTCCATTCTTTTCCATTGAGTTCCATTCCCTTCCATTCCATTCCGTTGCGTTGTAATCGGGTTGATTCCAATCCATTCCATTACATCCCAATCCTTTTCATTCCATTATATTCCACTCGGTTTGTTTCCATTACACTGAATTCCATTCCATTCCATTCCATTCCATTGCATTCCATTGAATTCCATTCCACTCGGGTTGTTTCCTTTCCATTCCATTCCTTTAGTTTCCATTCCATTCATTCCATTCAATTCCATTCCATTCCATTCCTTTCCATTGCATTCCATTGAATTCCATTCCACTCGGGTTGTTTCCTTTCCATTCCATTCCTTTAGTTTCCATTCCATTCATTCCATTCCATTCCATTCCATTCCACTCAGGTTGATTCCGTTCGATTCCATTCCAATCCATTCCATTCCATTCCATTCTAGTTGATTCCATTACATTCCATGCCGTTCCATTGCATTCCACTCCATTTCAATCCATTCCCCTCGAGTTGATTCCATTCCATTCCATGCCATTCCATTCCATTCCATGCCATTCCATTCCATTCCATTGCATTCCACTCGGGTTGATTCCATTCCATTCCATTCCATTCCATTTCATTCCTTTCAAGTTGATTCCATTCCATTCTATTGCATTCCATTCCATTCCATTCCATTCGGGTTGATTTCATTCCATTCCATTCCATTCTAGTCCATTCCAGTCCATTCCATTCCATTCCATTCCATTCCATTCCTGTCCATTTCATTCCATTCCATTCCATTCTAGTTGATTCCATTGCATTCCATGCCATTCCATTACATTCCATTTTATTCCAATCCATTCCATTAGGGTTGATTTCATTCCATTCCATTTCATTCCATTCCATAGCATTCTACTCGGGTTAATTCCATTCCATTCCACTCCATTCCATTCCATTCCATTCCACTCCATTTCATTCCATTCCATTCCACTCCACTTCATTCCTTTCCTGTTGATTCCATTCCACTCCATTGCATTCCATTCCATTCCAATCTGGTTGATTTCATTCCATTCCATTCCATTCTAGTCCATTCCATTCCATTCCATTTCATTCCATTCCATTCCATTCCATTCCTGTCCATGCCATTCCATTCCATTCCATTCCACTAGTGTTTATTCCATTCCACTCCAATCCATTCCATTCCATTCCATTCCATTCCATTCCATTCCATTCCACTCGGGTTGTCTCCATTCCATACCATTGCATTCCTTTGCATTCCATTCCTTTCCTTTCCATTCGATTCCTTGCCATTCCATTCCTTTCCTCTCGAGTTATTCCATTCCATTTTTTCCATTCCATTCCATTCCATTCCATTCCATTCCGTTCCATTTGATTCCTTTCCGGTTGATTCCATTCCATTCCATTCCATTGCATTCCATTCCATTCCAATCCGGTTTATTTCATTCCATTCCATTCCATTCTAGTCAATTCCATTCCATTCCATTCCATTCCATTCCATTCCATTCCATTCCGTTCCATTACTGTCCATAAAATTCCATTCCATTCCATTCCATTCCATTCCATTCCATTCCATTCCTTTCCATTCCATTCCATTCCATTCCATTCCATTCCATTCCACTCGTGTTCATTTCATTCCATTCCATTCCTTTCCATTCCATTCCATTCCGTTGCAGTCGGGTTCATTCCATTCCAATCCATTCCATTCCATTCCACTCGGGTTGACTCCATTCCATTCCATTCCACTCCATTCCACTCGGGTTGATTCCATTCCATTCGTTTCCATTCCATTCCATTCCACTCGGTTTGTTTCCAGTCCATTCCATTCCATTCCATGCCGTTATAGTCCATTCCATTCCATTTCACTCGGGTTGATTCCACTCCATTCCATTGCATTCCATGCCGTTACATTCCATTCCATTCCATTCCATTCCAATTCATTCCATTCCATTCCTTTCCATTCCATTCCATTCCTTTCCATTCCATTCCACTCTGGTTGATTCCATTCCATTCCATTCCATACCATTCCGTTCCATTGTATACCATTACATTGCAGTTTAATTGATTCCATTCTATTCCATTACATTGCACTCGAATTGATTCCATTCTATTCCACTCCATTCCATTCCATTCCATTCTATTCCATTCCATTCCATTAATTGACATTCCGTTTCATTCCACTCGAGTTGATTCCATTCCATTCCATTCCATTCCATTCCATTCCATTCCATTCCATTCGTGTTTATTCCGCTCCATTCCATTCCACTCGGGTTGATTCCATTCCATTCCATTCCATTCCATTCCATTCGACTCGGGTTCAATCCTTTTAGTTCCGTTCCATTCCATTCCATTCCATTCCATTCCATTCCATTCCATTCCATTCCACTCGGGTTGATTCCATTCCATTCCATTCCATTCCATTCTACTCGGGTTCATTTCATTTCGTTCCGTTCCATTCCATTCCATTCCATTCCATTCATTTCCTTTCCATTCCATTCCACTCCACTCGGGTTCATTCCATTCCGTTCCATTCCATTCCATTAAATTCCATTGCATTCCAGTTCATTCCATTCCTTTCCATTCCATTCCATTCCCTTCCATTCCATTCCGTTGCATTGTAATCGGGTTGATTCCTATCCATTCCATTACATCCCAGTCTTTTTCTTTCCATTACATTCCAATCGGTTTGTTTCCATTACACTGAATTCCATTCCATTCCATTCCATTCCATTCCATTCCATTCCATTCCATTGCATTCCATTCCACTCGGGTTGTTTCCTTTCCATTGCATTCCTTTAGTTTCCATTCCATTCCATTCCATTCATTCCATTCCATTCCATTCCATTCCACTCAGTGTGATTCCGTTCGATTCCAATTCAATCCATTCCATTCCATTCCATTCTAGTTGATTCCATTGCATTCCATGCCGTTCCATTCCATTCCACTCCATTCCAATTTATTCCACTCGAGTTGATTCCATTCCATTCCATTCCATTCCTTTCCGTTGCATTCCACTCGGGTTGATTCCATTCCATTCCATTCCATTCCATTCCATTCCATTCCTCTCCATTCCCTTCCATTTCATTCCTTTCCAGTTGATTCCATTCCATTCCATTGCATTCCTTTCCATTCCAATCGGGTTGATTTCATTCCATTACATTCTATTCTAGTCCATTCCACTCCATTCCATTCCATTCCATTCCATTCCATTCTATTCCATTCCTGTCCATTCCATTCCATTCCATTCTAGTTGATTCCATTGCATTCCATGCCTTTCCTTTCCATTCCACTCTATTCCTATGCATTCCACTCGGGTTGATTTTGTTCCATTCCATTCCATTCCATTCCATTGCATTCCACTCGTGTTGATTCCAGTCCATTCCATTCCATTCCATTCCATTCCATTCCATTTCATTCCTTACCAGTTGATTCCATTCCATTCCATAGCATTCCGTTCCATTCCATTCCATTCCAATCCTGTCCATTCCATTCCATTCCATTCCATTCCATTCCATTCCATTCCACTGGTGTTTATTCCATTCCACTCCATTCGATTGCATTCCATTCCATTCCATTTCATTCTTTTCCACTCAACTCTGGTTGACTCAATTCCATACCATTGCATTCCATTGCATTCCATTACTTTCCTTTCCATTCCATTGCTTTCCGTTCCATTCTTTTCCACTCGAGTTGATTCCATTCCATTCTATTCCATTACATTCCATTCCATTCCACCCGTGTTTATTCCAGTCCATTCCATTCCATTCCATTCCCCTCGTGTTGATTCCATTCCATTCCATTCCATTCCATTCCATTCCATTCCATTCCATTCCATTGTATTCCTTTCCACTCCATTCCATTCCATTTCATTCCACTCGGGTTGATTCCATTCCATTCCATTCCATTCCAGTCCATTCCATTCCATTCCATTCCACTCGGGTTGATTTCAGTCCATTCCATTCCATTCCATGCCATTAGATTCCATTCCATTCCATTCCACTCGGGTTGATTCCACTCCATTCCATTCCATTCCATGCCATTCCATTCCATTCCATTCCATTCCATTCATTTCAATTTCTTTCCATTCCATTGCACTCTGGTTGATTCCATTCCATTCCATTCCATTCCATTCTATACCATTACATTGCACTCGAATTGATTCCATTCTATTCCATTCCATTCCATTCCATTCCATTCTATTTGGTTGATTCCAATCCATTGTTTTCCATTCCTTTCCATTCCATTCCCTTCCATTCCATTTCACTCGGGTTGATTCTATTCCATTCCATTCCATTCCATTCCATTATATTACATTCCATTCTAGTTGATTCCATTGCATTCCATGCCGTTCCATTCAATTCGTCTCTATTCCTATCCATTCCACTCGGGTTGATTTCATTCCATTCCATTCCATTCCATTCCATTCCGTTGCATTCCACTGTGGTTGATTCCATTCCATTTCATTCCATTTCATTCAGGTTGAGACCATTCCATTCCATTCCATTCTGTTCCCTTCCGTTCCGTTCCATTCTATTCCATGCCATTCCATTCCATTCCGTCCCATTCCATTCCATTCCACTCCATTCCATTCTATTCCACTCGGGTTGATTCCATTCCATTGCATTCCAATCCATTCCATTCCATTCCATTCCACTCGAGTTCATTCCATTCCATTCCATTCCATTCTATTCCGTTCCTTTCCATTCCATTCCATTCCATTCCATTCCATTCCATTCCATTCCATTCAACTCGGGTTCATTCCGTTCTGTTCCATTCCATTGCATTCCGTTCCATTCCATTCCATTCCATTCCATTCCATTCCATTCATTTCCATTCCATTCCATTCCATTCCAGTTCATTCCATTCGTTTCCATTCCATTCAATTCCGTTGCATTGGAATCGGGTTGATTCCGATCCATTCCATTACATTGCAGTCCTTTCCATTCCATTGCATTCCAGTCGGTTTTTTTTCCATTATATCAAATTCCATTCCATTCCATTCCATTCCATTGCATTCCATTGCTTTCTATTCCACTCGGGTTGTTTCCTTTCCATTCCATTCCATTAGTTTCCACTCCATTCATTCCATTCCATTCCTTTCCATTCCACTCAGGTTGATTCCGTTTGATTCCATTCCATTCCATTCCATTCCATTCCATTCCATTCCATTCCAGTTGATTCCATTGCATTCCATGCCATTCCATTCCATTCCACTCCATTCCAATCCATTCCAGCCTGGTTGATTTCTTTTCATTCCATTCCATTCCATTCCATTTCATTCCACTCGGGTTGATTCCGTTCCATTCCATTCCATTCCATTTCAATTCTTTCCAGTTGATTCCATTCCATTACATTGCATTCCATTCCATTCCAATCGGGTTGATTTCATTCCATTCCATTCCATTCTAATCCATTCCATTCCATTCCAATCCCTTCCATTCCATTCCATTCCTTTCCTTTCAATTCCATTTCATTCCATTCCCTTCCATTCCATTCCATTCCATTCCATTCCATTCCATTCCATTGCTTACTAATCGGGTTGATTCCAATCCATTCCATTACATTCAATTCCTTTCCATTCCATGCCATTTCACTCGGGGTGTTTCCATTCCATTGAATTCCATTCCATTCCATTGCATTCCATTCCACTCGGGTTGTTTGCATTCCATTCCATTAGTTTCCATTCCATTCCATTCATTTCCATTCCATTCCATTCCACTCCACTCGGGTTGATTTCATTCCATTCCATTAAATTGCATTCCATTCCATTCCAGTTCATTCCATTCCTTTCCATTCCATTCCATTCCCTTCCATTCCATTCCATTCCGTTCCATTCCATTCCATTCCATTCCCTTCTAATCAACTCGGGTTGATTCCATTCCATTCCATTCCTTTCCATTCCATTGCATTCTACCCGGGTTGATTCCATTCCATTTCATTCCATTCCATTCCATTCCGTTAAATTCCATGCCGTTCCATTCCATTCCAGTTCATTCCATTCTTTCCTTTCCATTCCATTCCGTTCCACTCTATTCGATTACATTCCATTCTGTTGCATTGGAATCGGGTTGATTCCCATCCATTCCATTACATTCCAGTCCTTTCCATTACATTACATTCCACTCGGTTTGTTTCCATTACATTGAATTCAATTCCATTCCTTTGCATTCCATTGCATTCCGTTCCACTAGGGTTGTTTCCTTTCCATTCCATTCCATTAGTTTCCATTCCATTCCTTTCCATTCATTCCATTCCATTCCATTCCATTACACTCAGGTTGATTATATTTGATTCCATTCCAATCCATCCCATTCCATTCTATTCTAGTTGATTCCATATCATTCCATGCCGTTCCATTCCATTCCACTCCATTCCAGTCCGTTCCACTCGGGTTGATTCCATCCCATTCCAACCCATTCCATTCCACTCCATTCCATACCATTCCATTGCATTCCATTCCATTCCATTCCATTTCATTACATTCCTTTCTGTTCCACTGAGGTTGATTCCATTCCATTGCATTCCTTTCCTTCAATTCCATTCAATTTGATTCCATTCCATTCCACTCGTGTTGATTCCACTCCGTTATATTCCATTCCATTCTATTCCTGTCCATTCCATTCCATCCCATTCCATTCCATTCCACTGCAGCTGATTCCATTCCATTCCATTCCATTCCATTGTATTCCATTCCATTCCAGTCCATTCCACTTGGGTTGATTCCATTCCATTCCATTCCATTCCATTCCATTCCATTCCCTTGCATTCGACTCGGGTGGATTCCCTTCCATTCCATTCCATTCCATTCCATTCCATTCCATTCAATTCCTTTCCATTCCATTTCGTTCCTTTCCAGTTCATTCCATTCCATTCCATTGCATTCCATTCCATTCCAATCGGGTTGATTTATTTCCATTCCATTCCATTCTAGTCCATTCCATTCCATTCATGTCCATTCCATTCCATTCCATTCCATTCCATTCCATTTCTTTCCATTCCACTCCATTCCATTGCATTCCATTCCACTGGTGTTTATTCCATTCCACTACATTCCATTGCATTCCATTCCATTCAATTTCATTCCATTCCATTCCATTTCATTCCTTTAAATTCCATTCCATTCCATTCCATTCCATTCCATTCCATTCCACTCGGATTGACTCCATTCCATACCTTTGCATTCCATTGCATTCCATTCCTTTCCTTTCCATTCCATTCCTTTCTTTTCCATTCCTTTCCACTCGAGTTGATTCTATTCCATTCTGTTCCATTCCATTCCATTCCATTCCGTTGCATTCCATTCCGTTCCCTTTGATTCCTTTCCAGTTGATACCATTCCATTCCATTGCATTCCATTCCATTCCAATCGGTTTGATTTCATTCCATTCCATTCCATTCTAGTCCTTTCCATTCCATTCCATTTCATTCCATTCCTGTCCATTCCATTCCGTTCCATTCCATTCCACTGGTGTTTATTCCATTCCACTCCATTCCATAGCATTCCATTCCATTCCATTGCATTCGATTCCATTCCAATCCATTCCACTCGTGTTGACTCCATTCCATACCATTGCATTCCATTGCATTCCATTCCTTTCCATTCCATTCTATTCCTTTCCATTCCATTACTTTCCACTCAGATTGATTCCATTCCATTCTCTTCCATTCCATTCCATTCCATTCCATTCCATTCCATTCCATTCCATTCCACTCGTGTTCATTTCATTCCATTCCATTCCTTCCCATTCCATTCCATTCCGTTGCAGTCGGGTTCATTCCATTCTAATCCATTCCATTCCATTCCACTCGGGTTGATTCCATTCCATTCCATTCCACTCCATTCCACTCGGGTTGATTTCATTCCATTCGTTTCCATTCCATTCCATTCCACTCGGTTTGTTTCCAGTCCATTCCATTCCATTCTATGCTGTTACAGTCCATTCCATTCCATTCCACTCGGGTTGATTCCACTCCATTCCATTGCATTCCATGCCGTTACATTCCATTCCATTCCATTCCATTCCATTTCATTCGATTCCATTCCTTTCCATTCCATTCCATTCCTTTCCATTCCATTCCACTCTGGTTGATTCCATTCCATTCCATTCCATTCCATTCCATTCTATACCATTACATTGCAGTTTAATTGATTCCATTCTATTCAATTACATTGCACTCGAATTGATTCCATTCTATTCCATTCCATTCCATTCCATTCCATTCCATGACGTTACATTTCATTCCACTCGAGTTGATTCCATTCCATTCCATTCCATTCCATTCCATTCCATTCCATTCGTGTTTATTCCGTTCCATTCCATTCCATTCCATTCCACTCGGGTTGAATCCATTCCATTCCATTCCATTCCATTCCATTCCCTTCCATTCCATTCCCTTTGATTCTTTTCCAGCTGATTCCATTCCATTCCATTGCATTCCATTCTATTGCAATCGGGTTGATTTCATTCCATTCCATTCCCTTCTAGTCCTTTCCATTCCATTCCATTCCATTCCATTCCATTCCTGACCATTCCATTCCATTCCATTCCATTCCATTCCATTCCATTCCACTGGTGTTTATTCCATTCCACTCTATTCCATTGCATTCCATTCCACTGTTGATTATTCCATTCCACTGCATTCCATTGCATTCCATTCCATTCCATTTCATTCCATTCCTTTCCATTCCATTCCACTCGGGTTGACTCCATTCCATACCATTGCAATTCATTGCATTCCATTCCTTTCCATTCCATTCCATTCTAGTCCATTCATTTCCATTCCATTCCATTCCATTCCATTCCACTCGTGTTTATTCCATTCCATTCCATTTCATTCCACTCGGGTTAATTCCATTCCATTCCATTCCATTCCATTCCATTCCATTCCATTCCTTTCCATTCCACTCGGGTTCATTCCATTCCGTTCCGTTCTACTCCATTCCATTCCATTCCATTCATTTCCATTCCAATCCATTCCACTCCACTCGGGTTGATTCCATTCAATTCCATTCCATTCCATTAAATTCCATTCTATTCCATTCCATTCCAGTTCATTCCATTCCTTTCCATTCCATCCCATTCCATTCTAGTTGATTCCATTGCATTCCATGCCGTTCCATTCCATTCCACTCTATTCAAATCCATTCCATTCGGGTTGATTTCATTCCATTCCATTCCATTCCATTCCATTCCACTGCATTCCACTCGGGTTAATTCCATTCCATTCCATTCCATTCCATTCCATTCCATTCCATTCCTTTCCATTTGATTCCTTTCCAGTTGATTCCATTCCATTCCATTGCATTCCATTCCATTCCAATTGGGTTGATTTCATTGCACTCCATTCCATTCAATTCCATTCCATTCCATTCCATTCCAATCCATTCCATTCCATTCCATTCCATTCCTGTCCATTCCATTCCATTGCATTCCATTCCTTTCCACTGGTGTTTATTCCATTCCACTCCATTCCATTGCATTCCATTCCATTCCATTACATTACATTCCATTGCATTCAATTCCACTCGGGTTTACTCCATTCCATACCTTTGTATTCCATTGAATTCCATTAGTTTCCTTTCAATTCAATTCCTTTCCAATCCATTCCATTCCATTCTATTCCATTCCATTCCATTCCATTCCATTCCATTCCATTCCATTCCTTTCCATTCCACTCTTGTTTATTCCATTCCATTCCATTCCATTCCATTACATTACATTCCACTGGGGTTGATTCCATTCCATACCATTCCATTCCATTCCATTCCATTCCATTCAATTCCATTCCATTCCATTGCATTCCATTCCACTGGTGTTCATTCCATTCCACTCTATTCCATTGCATTCCATTCCATTGTTGATTATTCCATTGCACTCCATTCCATTGCATTCCATTCCATTCCATTTCATTCCATTCCATTCCATTGCATTCCACTCGGGTTGACTCCATTCCATACCATTGCATTCTATTGCATTCCATTCTTTCCTTTCCCTTCCATTCCTTTCCATTCCATTACTTTCCACTCGAGTTGATTCCATTACATTCTATTCCATTCCTTTCCATTCCATTCCATTCCATTCCAATCCTGCTTATTACATGCCATTCCATTCCATTCCATTCCATTCCATTCCATTCCATTCCATTCCAATTTTGTAGATTCTATTGCGTTCCATTCCATTCCATTCCATTCCACTCCACTCGGGTTGATTCCATTCAATTCCATTAACTTCCATTCCATTCCATTCCATTCCATTCCATTCCAGTTCATTCCATTATCTTCCATTTCATTGCATTCCATTCCATTCCATTGCATTGGAATCGGGTTGATTCCAATCCATTCCATTACATTCCAGTCCTTTCCATTCCGTTACATTCCACTCGGTTCGTTTCCATTACATTGAATTCCATTCCATTCCATTACATTCCCTTATAATCCATTCCATTCCATTCCATTCCAGCCTCATTGATTCCATTCCATTCAATTATAATCGAGTCCATTCCATTACATTCTACTGGGTTTGATTCCTTTCCATTCCATTCCATTCCATTCCATTCCGTTCCATTTGATTCCTTTTCAGTTGATTCCATTCCATTCCATTGCATTCCATTCCATTACAATCGGGTTGATTTCATTCCATTCCATTCCATTCTAGTCCATTCCACTACATTCCATTCCATTCCATTCCATTCCATTCCATTCCATTTCTGTCCATTCCATTGAATTCCATTAAATTCTATTTGATTCCATTGCATTCCATGCCATTCCATTCCATTCCACTCTATTCCAATCCATACCATTCTGGTTGATTTCATTCCATTCCATTCCATTCAATTACATTACATTCCACTAGGGTTAATTCCATTCCATTCCATTCCATTGTATTCCATTCCATTCCAATAGGGTTGATTTCATTGCACTCCATTCCATTCCATTCCATTCCATTACATTACATTACATTCCTGTCCATTATATTCCATTCCACTGGTGTTTATTTCATTCCACTCCATTCCATTGCATTCCATTCCATTCCCTTTCATTCCATTCCATTCGATTCCATTCCTCTCGGGTTGACTCCATTCCATACTATTGCATTCCATGGCATTCCATTCCTTTCCTTTCCTTTCCATTCCTTTCCAATCCATTCCTTTCCACTCGAGTTGATTCCATTCCATTCTATTCCATTCCATTCCATTCCATTCCATTCCATTCCACTCGTGTTTATTCCATTCCATTCCATTCCATTCCATTCCATTCCATTCCATTCCATTCCACTCGAGTTGATTCCATTCCGTTGCATTCCATTCCATTCCCTTCCATTCCATTCCCTTCCAATCAACTCGGGTTGATTCCATTCCATTCCATTCCATTCCATTCCATTGCATTCTACCCGGGTTGATTCCTTTCCATTCCATTCCATTCCATTCCATTCCATTCCATTCCATTCATTTCATTCCTTTCCAATTGATTCCATTCCATTCAATTGCATTCCATTGCATTCCAATCGGGTTGATTTCATTCCATTTCATTCCATTGTAGTCCATTCCATTCCATTCCATTCCATTCCATTCCATTCCATTCCTGTCCATTCCATTCCATTCCATTCCATTCCATTCCATTCCATTGGTGTTTATTCCATTCCACTGCATTCCGTTGCATTCCATTCCATTCCGTTGCATTCCATTCCATTCCATTTCATTCCATTCCATTCCGTTCCATTCCAATCCACTCGGGTTGACTCCATTCCATACCATGGCATTCTATTGCATTCCATTCCTTTCCTTTCCATTCCATTCCTTTCCATTCCATTCCTTTCCACTCGAGTTGATTCCATTACATTCTATTCCATTCCATTCCATTAGATTCCATTCCATTCCATTCCATTCCACTCGTGTTTATTCCATTCCATTCCATTCCATTCCATTCCATTCCATTCCATTCCATTCCATTCTACTCGGGTAGATTCCATTCCATTCCATTCCATTCCGTTCCGTTGCATTCCATTCCACTCGGGTTCATTCCATTCCTTTCCGTTCCATTCCATTCCTTTCCATTCCATTCATTTCCATTCCATTCCATTCCATTCCATTAAATTCCATTCCATTCCATTCCACTTCATTCCATTACTTTCAATTCTATTCCAGTTCATTCCATTCCTTTCCATTCGATTCCATTCCATTGCGTTGGAATCGGGTTGACTCCAATCCATTCCATTACATTCCAGTCCTTTCCATTCCATTCCATTCCCTCGATTTTTTTGCATTACATTGAATTCCTTTCCATTCCCTTCCGTTCCATTGCATTCCATTGCATTCCATTCCACTCGGGTTGTTTCCTTTCCATTACATTCCATTAGTTACCATTCCGTTCCATTCCATTCATTCCATTCCATTCCATTCCATTCCATTCCATTCCATTCCATTCATTCCATTCCATTCCATTCCATTCCATTCCATTCATTCCATTCCATTCCATTCCATTCCATTTCATTCCTTTCCAGGTGATTCCATTCCATTCAATTGCATTCCATTCCATTCCAATCGGGTTGATTTCATTCCATTCCATTCCATTCTAGTCCATTCCATTCCATTCCATTCCATTCCACTGGTGTTTATTCCATTCCACTCCATTCCATTGCATTCCATTCCATTCCATTCCATTCGATTCCATGCCATTCCATCCACTCGGGTTGACTCCATTCCATACCGTTGCATTCCATTGCATTCCATTCCTTTCCATTCCATTCTATTCCTTTCCATTCCATTCCTTTCAACTCGTGTTGATTCCATTCCATTCTCTTCCATTCCATTCCATTCCATTCCATTCCATTCCATTCCATTCCATTCCATTCCATTCCATACGTGTTCATTTCATTCGATTCCATTCCATTTCATTCCATTGCATTCCATTGCACTCGGGTTGATTCTATTCCATTCCATTCCATTCTATTCCACTCGGGTGGATTCCATTCCATTCCATTCCAGTCCATTCCACTCGTGTTGATTCCATTCCATTCATTTCCATTCCATTCCTTTCCATTCCATTCCACTCGGTTTGATTCCACGCCATTCCTTTCCATTGCATGCCCTTACAGTCCATTCCATTCCATTCCACTCGGGTTGATTCCACTCCATTCCATTGCATTCTATGCCGTTCCATTCCATTCCATTCCATTCCAATCCATTCCATTCCATTCCTTTCTTTCCATTCCACTCTGTTTGATTCCATTCCATTCCATTCCATTCCATTCCATTCTATACCATTACATTGCACTCGAATTGATTCCATTCCATCCCATTCCATTCCACTCCATTCCATTCCATTCCATTCCATTCATGTTTTTTCCATTCCATTCCATTCCATTCCACTTGGGTTGATTCCATTCCATTCCATTCCATTCCATTCCATTCCATTCTACTCGGGTTCATTCCATTTCGTTCCATTCCATTCCGTTCCATTCATTTCCTTTCCATTCCATTTGACTCCCCTCGGGTTGATTCCATTCCATGCCATTCCATTCCATTAAATTCCATTGCATTCCAGTTCATTCCATTCTTTTCCATTGAATTCCATTCCCTTCCATTCCATTCCGATGCGTTGTAATCGGGTTGATTCCAATCCATTCCATTACATCCCAGTCCTTTTCATTCCATTATATTCCACTCGGTTTGTTTCCATTACACGGAATTCCATTCCATTCCATTCCATTCCATTGCATTCCATTGCATTCCATTCCACTCGGGTTGTTTCCTTTCCATTCCATTCCTTTAGTTTCCATTCCATTCATTCCATTCCATTCCATTCCATTCCACTCTGGTTGATTCCATTCGATTCCATTCCAATCCATTCCATACCATTCCATTCTAGTTGATTCCATTGCATTCCATGCCATTCCATTCCATTCCACTCCATTTCAATCCATTCCACTCGAGTTGATTCCATTCCATTCCATTCCATTCCATTCCATTTCATTCCTTTCAAGTTGATTCCATTCCATTCCATTGCATTCCATTCCATTCCAATCGGGTTTGTTTCATTCCATTCCATTCCATTCTAGTCCATTCCAGTCCATTCCATTCCATTCGATTCCATTCCATTCCTGTCCATTTCATTCCATTCCATTCCATTCTAGTTGATTCCATTGCATTCCATGCCATTCCATTCCATTCCATTTTATTACAATCCATTCCATTAGGGTTGATTTCATTCCATTCCATTTCATTCCATTCCATAGAATTCTACTCGGGTTAATTCCATTCCATTCCATTCCATTCCATTCCATTCCATTCCATTCCACTCCATTCCATTACATTCCATTCCACACCACTTCATTCCTTTCCTGTTGATTCCATTACCTTCCATTGCATTCCATTCCATTCCAATCTGGTTGATTTCATTCCATTCCATTCCATTCTAGTCCATTCCATTCTATTCCATTTCATTCCATTCCATTCCATTCCATTCCTGTCCATGCCATTCCATTCCTGTCCATTCCACTAGTGTTTATTCCATTCCACTCCAATCCATTGCATTCCATTCCATTCCATTCCATTCCATTCCATTCCACTCGGGTTGACTCCATTCCATACCATTGCATTCCTTTGGATTCCATTCCTTTCCTTTCCATTCGATTCCTTGCCATTCCATTCCTTTCCCCTCGAGTTGATTTCATTCCATTCTATTCCATTGCATTCCATTCCATTCCGTTCCATTTGATTCCTTTCCTGTTGACTCCATTCCATTCCATTGCCTTCCATTCCATTCCAATCCGGTTGATTTCATTACATTCCATTCCATTCTAGTCCATTCCACTCCATTCCATTCCATTCCATTCCTGTCCATTCCATTCCATTCCATTCCATTCCATTCCATTCTAGTTGATTTCATTGCATTCCATGCCTTTCCATTCCATTCCACTGTTTTCCAATCCATGCCACTCGGGTTGATTTCATTCCATTCCTTTCAATTGCATTCCATTCCATTCCATTCCATTCCATTCCATTTCATTCTTATCCAGGTGATTCCAATCCATTCCATTGCATTCGATTCCATTCCAATCGGGTTGATTTCATTCCATTCCATTCCATTCTAGTCCATTCCATTCCATTCCATTGCATTCCATTCCACTGGTGTTTATTCCCTTCCACTCCATTCCATAGCATTCCATTCCATTCCATTGCATTCGATTCCATTCCATTCCATTCCACTCGGGTTGACTCCATTCCATACCATTGCATTCCATTGCATTCCATTCCTTTCCATTCCATTCTATTTCTTTCCATTGCATTCCTTTCCACTCGGGTTGATTCCATTCCATTCTCTTCCATTCCATTCCATTCCATTCCATTCCATTCCATTCCAGTCCATTCCATTCCATTCTATTCCATTCCATTCCACTCGTCTTCATTTCATTCCATTCCATTCCTTTCCATTCCATTCCTTTCCGTTGCACTCGGGTTCATTCCATTACAATCCATTCCATTCCATTCCACTCGGGTTGATTGCATTCCATTCCATTCCACTCCATTCCACTCGGGATGATTCCATTCCATTCCTTTCCATTCCATTCCATTCCACTCGGTTTGTTTCCAGTCCATTCCATTCCATTCCATGCCGTTACAGTCCATTCCATTCCATTCCACTTGGGTTTATTCCATTCCATTCCATTCCATTGCATTCCATGCCGTTACATTCCATTCCATTCCATTCCATTCCATTCCATTTCATTCCATTCCATTCCTTTCCATTCCATTCCATTCCTTTCCATTCCATTCCACTCTGGTTGATTCCATTCCATTCCATTCCATTCCATTCTATACCACTACATTGCAGTTTAATTGATTCCATTCTATTCCATTACATTGCACTCGAATTGATTCCATTCTATTCCATTCCATTCCATTCCATTCCATTCCATGACGTTACATTTCATTCCACTCGAGTTGATTCCATTCCATTCCATTCCATTCCATTCCATTCCATTCCATTCGTGTTTATTCCATTCGATTCCATTCCATTCCACTCGGGTTGATTCCATTCCATTGCATTCCATTGCATTCTACTCGGGTTGATTCCATTCCATTCTATTCCATTCCAATCCATTCCATTCCATTCCATTCCATTCCATTCATTTCATTCCTTTCCAGTTGATTCCATTCCATTCCATTGTATTCCATTCCATTCCAATCTGGTTGATTTCATTCCATTCCGTTCCATTCTAGTGCATTCCATTCCATTCCATTCCATTCCATTCCATTCCATTCCATTCCATTCCATTCCATTCCTGTCCATTCCATTCCCTTCCATTCCATTCTATGCCACTGCTGTTTATTCCATTCCACTCCATTCCATTGCATTCCATGCCATTCCATTTCATTCCATTCCATTCCATTCCATTCCATTCCATTCCATTCCATTCCATTCCACTCGGGTTGACTCCATTCCATACTATTGCATTCTATTGCATTCCATT
The DNA here is from genome assembly GCF_000001405.40 of Homo sapiens. Classification (NCBI taxonomy): domain Eukaryota; kingdom Metazoa; phylum Chordata; class Mammalia; order Primates; family Hominidae; genus Homo; species Homo sapiens. Next base: position 41,891,679 of record NC_000010.11, on the reverse strand, counting down.
CTTTCCTTTCCATTTCATTCCTTTCCATTCCATTCCTTTCCACTCGAGTTGATTCCATTACATTCTATTCCATTCCTTTCCATTCCATTCCATTCCATTCCATTCCATTCCATTCCAATCGTGTTTATTACATGCCACTCCATTCCATTCTATTCCATTCCATTCCATTCCAATTGTGTACATTCCATTCCGTTCCATTCCATTCCATTCCATTCCATTCCATTCCATTCCACTCGGGTTCTTTCCGTTCCGTTCCGTTCCATTCCATGCCATTCCATTCCATTCCATTCCATTCCATTCATTTCCATTCCATTCCATTCCACTCCACTCATGTTGATTCCATTCCATTCCATTCCATTCCATTCCATGAACATCCATTCCATTCCATTCCATTCCATTCCATTCCATTCATTTCCATTCCATTCCATTCCTCTCCACTCGGGTTGATTCCATTCCATTCCATTCCATTCCATTCCATTCCATTCCATTCCATGAACATCCATTCCATTCCATTCCATTCCATTCCATTCCATTCATTTCCATTCCATTCCATTCCTCTCCACTCGGGTTGATTCCATTCCATTCCATTCCATTCCATTCCATTCCATGAACATCCATTCCATTCCATTCCATTCCTGTTCATTCCATTCCCTTCCATTCCATTCCATTCCATTCCATTGCATTGCATTGGAATCGGGTTGATACCAACCCATTCCATTACTTTCCAGTCCTTTCCATTCCATTACATTCCACTCGGTTTGTTTCCATTACATTGAATTCCATTCTATTCCATTCCATTCCATTCTATTCCATTCCATTGCATTCCATTGCATTCCATTCCATTCCATTAGTATCCGTTCCATTCCATTCCATTCATTCCATTCCATTCCATTCCATTCCACTCAGGTTGATTCCGTTCGATTCCATTCCATTCCATTATAGTTGATTCCATTGCACTGCATGCCGTTCCATTCCGTTCTACTCCAATCCAATCCATTCCACCCGGGTTTATTCCATTCCATTCCATTGCATTCGACTCGGGTGGATTCCATTCCATTCCATTCCATTCCATTCCATTCCATTCCATTCCATTCCGTTTTGCTCCTTTCCAGTTGATTCCATTCCATTCCATTGCATTCCATTCCATTCTAATAGGGTTGATTTAATTCCATTCCATTCCATTCTAGTCCATTCCATTCCATTCCATTCCATTCCATTCCATTCCTTTCCTGTCCATTCCATTCCATTCCATTCCATTTCATTCCATATCCATTCCATTCCATTTCTTTCCATTCCACTCCATTCTATTGCATTCCATTCCACTGGTGTTTATTCCATTCCACTCCATTCCATTGCATTCCATTCCATTCCATTTCATTCCATTCCATTCCATTCCATTCCACTCGGGTTGACTCCATTGCATACCATTGCATTCCATTCCTTTCCTTTCCATTCCATTCCTTTCCATTCCATTCCTTTCCACTCGAGTTGATTCTATTCCATTCCATTCCATTGCATTCCATTCCATTCCAATCGGGTTGATTTCATTCCATTCCATGCCATTCTAGTCCTTTCCATTCCATTCCATTCCTGTCCATTCCATTCCGTTCCGTTCCAGTCCACTGGTGTTTATTCCATTCCACTCCATTCCATTGCATTCCATTCCATTCCATTTCATTCCATTCCATTCCATTCCATTCCACTCGGGTTGACTCCATTCTATACCATTGCATTAAATTCCTTTCATTCCCATTCCATTCTAGTCCATTCCTTTCCATTCCATTTCTTTCCATTCCATTCCATTCCATTCCACTCGTGTTTATTCCATTCTATTCCATTCCATTCCACTCGGGATGATTCCATACCATTCCATTCCATTCCATTTCACTCGGGTTCATTGCATTCCCTTCCGTTCCATTACATTCGATTCCATTCCATGCATTTCCATTCCATTCCATTCCACTCCACTCAGGTTGATTCCATTCCATTCCATTCCATTAAATTCCATTCCATTCCATTCCACTCCAGGTCATTCCATTCCTTTCCATTGCATTCCATTCCCTTCCATTCCATTCGTTTTTATTCCATTCCATTCCATTCCATTCCATTCCATTCCATTGCACTCGTGTTGATTCTATTCCATTCCATTCCATTCCATTCCATTCCATTCCATTCCATTCCATTCGTGTTGATTCCATTCCTTTCCATTCCAGTCCATTCCATTCCATTCCATTGCATTCCATTCTTGTTGATTCCATTCCTTTCCATTCCAGTCCATTGCATTCCATTCCATTCCACTCGGGTTTATTCCATTCCATTCCATTCCATTCCATTGCATGCCGTTACAGTCCATTCCAATCCATTCCACTCGAGTTGATTCCACTCCATTCCATTCCATTCCATGCCGTTACATAACATTCCATTCCATTCCATTCCATTCCATTCCATTCCATTCCATTCCATTCCTTTCCATTCCATTCCACTCTGGTTGATTCCATTCCATTCCATTCTATACCATTACATTGCACTCAAATTGATTCCATTCTATTGCATTGCATTCCATTCCATTCCATTCCATTCCATTACATTACATTACATTACATTACATTCCACTCAGGATGATTCCATTCGATTCCATTCCAATCCATTCCATTCCATTCCATTTTAGTTGATTCTATTGCATTCCATGCCGTTCCATTCCATTCCACTCCCTTCCAATCCATTCCACTCGTGTTGATTCCATTCCATTCCATTCAATTCCATTCCACTGCATTCCACTCGGGTTGATTCCATTCCATTCCATTCCATTCCATTCCATTCCATTCCATTCCATTCCATTCAATTCCATTCCATTCCATTTGATTCATTTCCAGGTGATTCCATTCCATTCCATTGCATTCCATTCCATTCCAATCGGGTTGATTTCATTCAATTCCATTCCATTCTAGTCCATTCCACTCCATTCCATTCCATTCCATTCCATTCCATTCCATTCCATTCCATTCCTCTCCATTCCATTCCATTCCATTCTAGTTGATTCCATTGCATTCCATGCCTGTCCTTTCCATTCCACTCTATTCCTATGCATTCCACTCGGGTTGATTTTATTACATTCCATTCCATTCCATTGCATTGCATTCCACTCGTGTTGATTCCATTCCATTCCATTCAATTCCATTCCATTCCATTCCATTCCATTCCACTTCATTCCTTTCCAGTTGATTCCATTCCATTCCATAGCATTCCGTTCCATTCCATTCCATTTCAATCCTGTCCATTCCATTCCTTTCCATGCCATTCCATTCCATTCCATTCCATTCCATTCCATTCCATTCCATTCCATTCCATTCCACTGGTGTTTATTCCATTCCACTCCATTCCATTGCATTCCATTCCATTCCATTTCATTCTTTTCCACTCCACTCTGGTTGACTCAATTCCATACCATTTCATTCCAGTGCATTCCATTACTTTCCTTTCCATTCCATTGCTTTCCATCCCTTTCTTTTCCACTCGAGTTGATTCCATTCCACTCGATTCCATTCCATTCCATTCCATTCCATTCCATTCCATTCCACTCGTGTTTATTCCATTCCAATCCATTCCATTCCATTCCACTCATGTTGATTCCATTCCTTTCCATTCCATTCCGTTCCATTCCATTCCATTCTATTCCATTCCATTGTATTCCTTTCCACTCCATTCCATTCCATTTCATTCTACTCGGGTTGATTCCTTTCCATTCCATTGCATTCCAGTCCATTCCATTCCATTCCATTCCACTCGGGTTGATTTCAGTCCATTCCATTCCATTCCATGCCGTTAGATTCCATTCCATTCCATTCCACTCGGGTTGATTCCACTCCATTCCATTCCATTCCATGCCGTTCCATTCCATTCCATTCCATTCCATTCGATTCATTTCAATTTCTTTCCATTGCATTGTACTCTGGTTGATTCCATTCCATTCCATTCCATTCCATTCTATACCATTACATTGCACTCGAATTGATTCCATTCTATTCCATTCCATTCCATTCCATTCCATTCCATTCCATTCCATTTGTTTGATTCCAATCCATTGCTTTCCATTCCTTTCCATTCCATTCCCTTCCATTCCATTTCACTCGGGTTGATTCTATTCCATTCCATTCCATTCCATTATATTACATTCCATTCTAGTTGATTCCATTGCATTCCATGCCGTTCCATTCAATTCCTGTCTATTCCTATACATTCCACTCGGGTTGATTTCACTCCATTCCATTCCATTCCATTCCATTCCATTCCATTCCATTCCGTTGCATTCCACTTTGGTTGATTCCATTCCATTTCATTCCATTTCATTCAGGTTGATACCATTCCATTCCATTCCATTCCGTTTCTTTCCGTTCCGTTCCATTCTATTCCATGCCATTCCATTCCATTCCGTCCCATTCCATTCCATTCCATTCCATTCCATTCCATTCTATTCCACTCGGGTTGATTCCATTCCATTATATTCCAATCCATTCCATTCCTTTCCATTCCACTCGTGTTCATTCCATTCCATTCCATTCCATTCTGTTCCGTTCCTTTCCATTCCATTCTATTCCATTCCATTCCATTCCACTCGGGTTCATTCCTTTCTGTTCCATTGCATTGCATTCCGTTCCATTCCATTCCATTCCATTCCATTCCATTCCATTCCATTCCATTCCATTCATTTCCATTCCATTCCGCTCCATTCCAGTTCTTTCCATTCGTTTCCATTCCATTCAATTCCGTTGCATTGGAATCGGGTTGATTCCGATCCATTCCATTACATTGCAGTCCATTCCATTCCATTGCATTCCAGTCGGTTTTTTTTCCATTATATCAAATCCCATTCCATTCCATTCCATTCCATTGCATTCCATTGCTTTCTATTCCACTCGGGTTGTTCCTTTCCATTCCATTCCATTAGTTTCCATTCCATTCATTCCATTCCATTCCTTTCCATTCCACTCAGGTTGATTCCGTTTGATTCCATTCCATTCCATTCCATTCCATACCATTCCAGTTGATTCCATTGCATTCCATGCCATTCCATTCCATTCCAATCCATTCCAATCCATTCCACCCGGGTTGATTTCATTTCATTCCATTCCATTCCATTCCATTGCATTCCACTCGGGTTGATTCCGTTCCATTCCATTCCATTCCATTTCAATCCTTTCCAGTTGATTACATTCCATTACATTGCATTCCATTCCATTCCAATCGGGTTGATTTCATTCCATTCCATTCCATTCTAATCCATTCCATTCCATTCCAATCCCTTCCATTCCATTCCATTCCTTTCCATTCCATTCCATTACATTCCATTCCATTCCCTTCCATTCCATTCCATTCCATTCCATTCCATTGCTTTCTAATCGGGTTGACTCCAATCCATTCCATTACATTCAAGTCCTTTCCATTCCATGACATTTCACTCGGGGTGTTTCCATTCTGTTGAATTCCATTCCATTCCATTCCATTCCATTCCATTCCATTGCATTCCATTCCACTCGGGTTGTTTGCATTCCATTCCATTAGTTTCCATTCCATTCCATTCATTTCCATTCCATTCCATTCCACTCCACTCGGGTTGATTCCATTCCATTCCATTCCATTAAATTGCATTCCATTCCATTCCAGTTCATTCCATTCCTTTCCATTCCATTCCATTCCCTTCCATTCCATTCCATTCCGTTCCATTCCATTCCAATCCGTTCCATTCCATTCCATTCCGTTCCATTCCAATCCATTCCATTCCATTCCATTGCATTGCAATCGGGTTGATTCCAATCCATTCCATTCCATTCCAGTCCTTTCCATTACATTACATTCCACTCGGTTTGTTTCCACTACATTGAATTCAATTCCATTCCATTGCATTCCATTCCATTCCGTTCCACTCGGGTTGTTTCCTTTCCATTCCATTCCATTCCGTTCCACTCGGGTTGTTTCCTTTCCATTCCATTCCATTAGTTTCCATTCCATTCCTTTCCATTCATTCCATTCCATTCCATTCCATTCCATTCCATTCCACTCAGGTTGATTCCGTTCGATTCCATTCCAATCCATCCCATTCCATTCCATTCTATTTGATTCCATATCATTCCATGCAGTTCTATTCCATTCCACTCCATTCCATTCCATTCCATTGCATTCCATTCATTTCAATTTCTTTCCATTCCATTGCACTCTGGTTGATTCCATTCCATTCCATTCCATTTCATTCTATACCATTACATTGCACTCGAATTGATTCCATTCTCTTCCTTTCCATTCCATTCCATTCCATTCCATTGCATTGCAATCGGGTTGATTCCAATCCATTCCATTCCATTCCAGTACTTTCCATTACATTACATTCAACTCGGTTTGTTTCCATTACATTGAATTCAATTCCATTCCATTGCATTCCATTACATTCCGTTCCACTCGGGTTGTTTCCTTTCCATTCCATTCCATTTGTTTCCATTCCATTCCTTTCCATTCATTCCATTCCATTCCATTCCATTCCATTCCATTCCATTCCACTCAGGTTGATTCCGTTCGATTCCATTCCAATCCATCCCATTCCATTCCATTCTATTTGATTCCATATCATTCCATGCAGTTCCATTCCATTCCACTCCATTCCATTCCATTCCATTGCATTCCATTCCATTCTATTCCATTCCATTTCATTACATTCCTTTCTGTTCCACTGAGGTTGATTCCATTCCATTGCATTCCTTTCCTTCCATTCCATTCAATTTGATTCCATTCCATTCCACTTGTGTTGATTCCACTCCGTTATATTCCATTCCATTCTATTCCTGTCCATTCCATTCCATCCCATTCCATTCCATTCCACTGCAGCTGATTCCATTCCATTCCATTCCATTCCATTGCATTCCATTCCATTCCAGTCCATTCCGCTTGGATTGATTCCATTCCATTCCATTCCATTGCATTCCATTCCATTCCATTCCATTCCATTCCACTCGTGTTGAATCCATTCCATTCCATTCCATTCCACTCGGGTTGATTCCCGTCCTTTCCATTCCATTCCATTCCATCCCATTCCATTCCATTTCACTCTGGTTGATTCCATTCCATTCCTTTCCATTCCAATACATTCCAGTCCATTCCACTCTGGTTGATTCCATTCCATTTTATTAAATTGCATTCCATTCCATTCCATTCCATTCCATTCCATTCCTTTCCATTCCATTCCTTTACATTCTACTCCATTCCATTCCATTCCATTCCATTCCATTCCATTCCATTCCATTTAACATGGGTGGATTCCAATCCATTCCATTCCATTCAATTCCATTCCCTTCCATTCGGGTTGATTCCATTCCATTCCGTTCCATTACTTTCTATTCCATTCCATTCCATTCATTCCATTCCAATCTTGTTGATTCCATTCAATTCCATTTCGCTCCATTCCATTCCATTCCATTCGATTCCATTCCATTCCTTTCCATTCATTCCACTTGGGTTAATTCCATTCCATTCCATTACATTCAATTCCATTCCATCCCATTACATTCCGTTCCACTCGGGTTGAGTCCATTCCATTCCATTCCATTTTATTCCACTCCACTCGGGTTGATTCCATTCCCTTCCATTCCATTCCATTCCATTCCATTCCACTCGGGTTGATTCCATTCCATTCCATTCCATTCCATTCCATTCCACTCCATTCTATTCCATTTCATTCCATTCCAGTTGGTTCCATTCCATTCCATTCCATTCCATTCCATTCCATTCCACTCGGCTTGATTTCATTCCATAGCATTCCAGTTGATTCGATTCCATTCCAATCCATTCCATTCCATGCCACTTCTTGTTGCTTCCATTCCATTCCATTCCATTCCAGTTGATTCCATTCCATTCCATTCCTTTCCATTCCATTGCATTCCATTCCCTTCCATTCCATTCCATTCCATTCCATTCCATTCCGTTCCATTCCATTCCATTCCATTCCATTCCGTTCCATTGCTTTCTAATGAGGTTGATTCCACTCCTTTCCATTACATTCAAGTCCGATCCATTCCATGCCATTTCACTCGGGTTGTTTCCATTCCGTTGAATTCCACTCCGTTCCATTCCATTCCATTCCATTCCATTCCATTCCACTCAGGTTGATTCCATTCCGTTCCATTCCATTCCATTCCATTCCATTCCATTCCAGTTGATTCCATTGCATTCCATTCCGTTCCATTCCATTCCATTCCATTCCATTCCATTCCATTCCACTAGGGTTGATTCCATTCCATTCCATTCCATTGCATTCCATTCCATTCCATTCCACTCAAGTTGATTCCGTTCCATTCCATTCCATTCCATTTCATTAAATTCCGTTCCTGCTGTTTCCACTGCCTTCCATTCCATTCCAATCCATTCCATTCCATTCCGTTCCACTCTCGTTGATTCCATTCCATTCCATTCCATTCCATTCCATTCCAGTTGATTCCATTGCATTCCATTCCGTTCCATTCCATTCCATTCCATTCCATTCCATTCCATTCCATTCCATTCCATTCCACTGGGGTTGATTCCATTCCATTCCATTCCATTGCATTCCATTCCGTTCCATTCCACTCAGGTTTATTCCGTTCCATTCCATTCCATTCCATTTCATTAAATTCCGTTCCTGCTGTTTCCACTGCCTTCCATTCCATTCCAATCCATTCCATTCTATTCCGTTCCACTCTCGTTGATTCCATTCCATTCCATTCCTCTCGGGCTGATTCCGTTCCATTCCATTCCATTCCATTTCATTCCATTCCATTCCATTCCATTTCATTCCATTCCATTCCATTCCATTCCTTTCCATTCGGGCTAATTCCATACCATTCCATTCCATTCCATTCCGTTCCTTTCCATTCCATTCCATGCCAGTCATGTTGATTCAATTCCATTCCTTTCCATTCCATGCCATTCCATTCCATTCCTTTCCATTCCATTCCACTGGTTTGATTCCGTTGCATCCATTCTATTCCATTACACTTTGGTTGATTCCATTCCATTCCACTCGGTTTGATTCCTTTGCATTCCGTTCAATTCCATTCCACTTTGGTTCATTCCATTCCATTCCATTCCATTCCACTGTGGTTGATTCCATTCTATTCCATTCCATTCCATACCGTTCCAGTCCATTTATTTACATTCCACTCAGGTTGATTCCATTCCATTCCATTCCATTCCACTGTGGTTGATTCCATTCTAATCCATTCCATTCCATACCGTTCCAGTCCATTTATTTCCATTCCACTCAGGTTGATTCCGTAGCATTCCATTCCATTCCATTCCATTCCTTTCCATGCCATTCCATTCCATTCCATTCCATTCCATTCCATGACTTTCCATTCCTGTCCATTCGTGTTGATTCCTTTGCATTCCATTCTTTTCGATTCTTTTCCACTCCATTCCCTTCCGTTCCATTCGGGATGATTCCATTCCATTCCATTCCATTCCTTTCCATTCCATTCCATTCCATTCCATTCCACCGGGATTGATTCCATTCCATTCCATTATAATCCATTCCATTCCACCCGGATTGTTTCCTTTCCATTCCATTGTAATGCATTCCATTCCACTGGGGTTGATTGCATTCCATGCCATTCCATTCCATTCCATTCCATTCCATTCCATTCCATTGCAGTTGATTCTAATGCCTTCCACTCCATTCCATTCCATTGCATTCCACTCCATTCAATTACACTCGGGTTGATTCCATTCCATTCCATTCCACTCAGGTTGATTCCATTGCATTCTCTTCCATTCCATTCCGTGCCTTTCCATTCCATTCCATTCCACTCGGGTTCATTCTATTCCATTCCATTGCATTCCATTCCATTCCATTCCATTCCATTCCATTCGTGTTTATTCCATTCCATTCCATTCCATTCCATTCCACTCGGGTTCATTGCATTCAGTTCCGTTCCATTCCATTCCATTCCATTCCATTTATTTCCATCCCATTCTATTCCACTCCACTCGGGTTGACTCCATTCCATTCCATTCCATTGCATTAAATTTCATTCCATTCCATTCCATTCCAGTTCATTCCAATCCTTTCCATTCCATCCCATTCCATTCTAGTTGATTCCATTGCATTCCATGCCGTTCCATTCCATTCCACTCTATTCCAATCCATTCCATTCGGGTTGATTTCATTCCATTCCATTCCATTCCACTGCATTCCACTCGGGGTAATTCCATCCCATTCCATTCCATTCCATTCCATTCCGTTCCATTTGATTCCTTTCCAGTTGATTCCATTCCATTCCATTGTATTCCATTCCATTCCAATCGGGTTGATTTCATTGCACTCCATTCCATTCCATTCCATTCCATTCCATTCCAATCCATTCCATTCCATTCCATTCCATTGCATTCCATTACTTTCCACTGGTGTTTATTCCATTCCACTCCATGCCATTGCATTCCAGTCCATTCCATTCCATTCCATTCCATTGCATTCCATTGCACTCGGGTTTACTCCATTCCATACCATTGCATTCCATTGCATTCCATTCCTTTCCTTTCCATTCCATTCCTTTCCAATCCATTCCATTCCATTCTAATCTTGTTTATTCCATTCCATTCCATTCCATTCCATTCCATTCCATTCCATTCCATTCCATTCCATTACATTCCACTCGGGTTTATTCCATTCCATTCCATTCCACTCTGGTTGATTCCATTCCATTGCATTCCATTGCATTCCATTCCTTTACATTCCACTCGGGTTTATTCCATTCCATTCCATTCCATTCCATTCCATTCCAATCCATTCCATTCCATTCCATTCCATTCATTTCATTCCTTTCCAGTTGATTGCATTCCATTCCATTGTATTCCATTCCATTCCAATCTGGTTGATTTCATTCCATTCCATTCCATTCTAGTCCATTTCATTCCAATCCATTCCATTCCATTCCATTCCCTTCCATTCCATTCCATTCCATTGCTGTTTATTACATTCCACTCCATTCCATTGCATTCCATTCCATTCCATTTCATTCCATTCCATTCTATTCTATTCCACTCGGGTTGACTCCATTCCATACCATTGCATTCTATTGCATTCCATTCTTTCCTTTCCATTCCATTCCTTTCCATTCCATTCCTTTCCACTCGAGTTGATTCCATTACATTCTATTCCATTCCTTTCCATTCCATTCCATTCCATTCCATTCCAATCCTGTTTATTACATGCCACTCCATTCCATTCCATTCCATTCCATTCCATTCCATTCCAATTGGGCAGATCCATTCCATTCCAATCCATTCCATTCCATTCCATTGCATTCCATTCCATTTATATCCACTCCATTCCATTCCACTCCACTCGGGTTGATTCCATTCCATTCCATTCCATTCCATTCCATTAAATTCCATTCCATTCCATTCCATTCCACTTCATTCCATTCCTTTCCATTCCATCCCATTGCATTCTAGTTGATTCCATTACATTCCATGCCGTTCCATTCCATTCCACTCTATTCCAATCCATTCCATTCGGGTTGATTTCATTCCATTCCATTCCATTCCGTTCCACTGCATTCCACTGGGGTTAATTCCATTCCATTCCATTCCATTCCATTCCATTCCTTTCCATTTGATTCATATCCAGTTGATTCCATTCCATTCCATTGCATTCCATTCCATTCCAATCGGGTTGATTTCATTGCACTCCATTCCATTCCATTCCATTCCATTCCAATCCTTTCCATTCCATTCCATTCCTGTCCATTCCATTCCATTGCATTCCATTCCTTTCCACTGGTGTATATTCCATTCCACTCCATTCCATTGCATTCCATTCCATTCCATTACATTACATTACATTGCATTCAATTCCACTCGGGTTTACTCCATTCCATACCATTGCATTCCATTGCATTCCATTCCTTTCCTTTCCATTCCATTCCTTTCCAGTCCATTGCATTCCATTCCAATCCATTCCATTCCATTCCACTCTTGTTTTCCATTCCATTCCATTCCATTACATTCCACTCGGGTTTATTCCATTCCATTCCATTCCATTCCATTCCATTCCATTCCGTTCCACTCGGGTTGATTCCATTCCATAGCATTCCATTCCATTCCAATCTGGTTGATTTCATTCCATTCCATTCCATTCTAGTCCATTCCATTCCATTCCATTCCATTCCATTCCATTCCATTCCATTCCATTCCATTCCATTCGGGTTGATTCCATTCCATTGCATTCCATTCCATTCCAATCTGGTTGATTTCATTCCATTCCATTCCATTCTAGTCCATTCCATTCCATTCCATTCCATTCCATTCCATTCCATTCCATTCCATTCCATTCCGTTCCACTCGGGTTGATTCCATTCCATTGCATTCCATTCCATTCCAATCTGGTTGATTTCATTCCATTCCATTCCATTCTAGTCCATTCCATTCCATTCCATTCCATTCCATTCCATTCCATTCCATTCCTGTCCATTCCATTCCCTTCCATTCCATTCCATTACACTGCTGTTTATTCCATTCCAATCCATTCCATTGCATTCCATTCCTTTCCATTTCATTCCATTCCATTCCATTCCATTCCATTCCACTCGGGTTGACTCCATTCCATACCATTGCATTCTATTGCATTCCATTCTTTCCTTTCCATTCCATTCCTTTCCATTCCATTCCTTTCCACTCGAGTTGATTCCATTACATTCTATTCCATTCCTTTGCATTCCATTCCATTCCATTCCATTCCAATCCTGTTTATTACATGCCATTCCATTCCATTCCATTCCAATAGGTGTATTCCATTCCGTTCCATTCCATTCCATTCCATTCCATTCATTTCCTTTCCATTCCTTTCGACTCCACTCGGGTTGATTCCATTCCATTCCATTCAATTCCATTCTGTTGCATTCCACTCGGGTTGATTCCATTCCATTGCATTCCATTCCATTCAATTCCATTCCATTCAATTCCATTCCATTCCATTTGATTCCTTTCCAGTTGCTTCCATTCAATTCCATTGCATTCCATTCTATTCCAATCGGGTTTTTTTCATTCAATTCCATTCCATTCTAGTCCATTCCACTGATTCCATTCCATTCCATTCCATTCCATTCCATTCTAGTTGATTCCATTGCAATCCATGCCGTTCCTTTCCATTCCACTCTATTCCTATGCATTCCACTCGGGTTGATTTTATTCCATTCCATTCCATTGCATTCCACTCGGGTTGATTCCATTCCATTCCATTCCATTCCATTTCATTCCTTTCCAGTTGATTCCATTCCATTCCACAGCATTCCGTTCCATTCAATTCCATTCCAATCTTGTCCATGCCATTCCATTCCATTCATTCCATTCCATTCCATTCCATTCCACTCTGTTTGATTCCATTCGATTCCATTCCAATCCATTCCAGTTGATTCCATTCTAGTTGATTCCATTGCATTCCATGCCGTTCCATTCCATTCCACTGCATTCCAATCCATTCCACTCGGGTTGATTCCATTCCATTCCTTTCCATTCCATTCCATTCATTTCCATTCCATTCACTCGGGTTGACTCCATTGCATTCCATTCCATTCCATTCCACTTGGGTTGATTCCATTCCATTCCATTACATTCCTTTCCGTTCCATTCCATTCATTTCCATTCCACTTGTGTTGATTCCATTCCATTCCATTCCTTTCCAGTCCATTCAGTTTGATTCCATTCCATTCCATTCCTTTCCATTCCTTTCCATTCCTTTACATTCCATTCCATTCCATTCCATTCGGGTTGATTCCATTCCATTCCGTTCCATTCCATTCCATTCCATTCCACTCCATTCCATTCCATTCCATTCCACCCAGATTGATTCCTTTCCATTCCATTATAATCCATTCCATTCCACTCAATTCCACTGGGGTTTATTCCATTCCATTCCATTCCATTCCATTCCATTCCATTCCATTCCATTCCGTTTCTTTCCCTTCCATTGCAGTTGATTCTAATGCCTTCCATTCCATTCCATTGCTTTGTATTCCATTCCATTCCATTCCATTCCACTCGGGATGATTGTATTCCATTCCATTCCAGTCGGGTTCATTCCATTCCATTCCATTCCATTCCATTCCATTCCATTCCGTTCCATGACGTTACATTTCATGCCACTCTAGTTGATTCAATTCCATTGCATTCCATTCCATTCCATTCCATTCCATTCCATTCCATTCCACTCGGCTTCATTCCTTTTCGCTCCGTTCCATTCCTTCCAATCCATTCCATTCCATTCTATTCCATTCCATTCCATTCCATTCCACTAGGGTTGATTCCATTCCATTCCATTCCATTCTACTCGGGTTCATTTCATTTCGTTCCGTTCTATTCCATTCCATTCCATTGCATTCATTTCCTTTCCATTCCATTCCACTCCACTCGGGTTGATTCCATTCCGTTCCATTCCATTCCATTAAATTCCATTGCATTCCAGTTCATTCCATTCCTTTCCATTCCATTCCATTCCATTCCATTCCGTTGCATTCTAATCGGGTGGTTTCCAATCCATTCCATTACATCCCAGTCCTTTTCATTCCATTATATTCCACTCGGTTTGTTTCCATTACACTGAATTCCATTCCATTGCGTTCCATTGCATTCCATTCCACTCTGGTTGTTTCATTTCCATTCCATTCCATTAGTTTCCATTACATTCAATTCCATCCATTCCATTCCATTCCATTCCACTCAGGTTGATTCCGTTCGATTCTATTTCAATCCATTCCATTCCATTCCATTCTAGTTGATTCCGTTGCATTCCATGCGGTTCCATTCCATTCCACTCCATTCCAATCCATTCCACTCGAGTTGATTCCATTGCATTCCATTCCATTCCATTCCATTCCATTCCATTCCATTCCATTCCATTCCTTTCCAGTTGATTCCATTCCATTCCATTCCATTCCATTCCATTCCATTCCATTTCATTCCTTTCCAGTTGATTCCATTCCATTCCATTGCATTCCTTTCCATTCCAATCGGGTTGATTTCATTCCATTCCATTCCATTCTAGTCAATTCCATTCCATTCCATTCCATTCCATTCCAGTCCATTCTATTCCATTCCATTCCTGTCCATAACATTCCACTCTGGTTGATTTCATTCCATTCGATTCCATTCCATTCTATACCATTACATTGCAGTCGAATTGATTCCATTCTATTCCATTCCATTCCATTCCATTCCATTCCATTCCATTCCATTCCATGACGTTACATTTCATTCCACTTGAGTTGATTCCATTCCATTCCATTCCATTCCATTCCATTCGTGTTTATTCCATTCCATTCCATTCCATTCCATTCGGGTTGATACCATTCCATACCATTCCATTCCATTCCATTTTAATCGGGTTCATTACTTTTCGTTCCGTTCCATTCCATTCCATTCCTTTCCATTCCATTCCATGCCGGTCATGTTGTTTCCATTCCATTCCTATACATTCCGTGCCAATCCATTCCATTCCTTTCCATTCCATTCCTGTCCTTTTCATTCCATTCCATTCCATTCCATTCCATTCCATTCCATTCCATTCCATTCAATTCCATTCCACTGGTGTTTATTCCATTGCACTCCATTCCATTGCATTCCATTCCATTCCATTGCATTCAATTCCATTCCATTCCATTCCACTCGGATTGACTCCATTCCATACCCGTGCATTCCATTGCATCACATTCCTTTCCATTCCATTCCATTCCTTTCCATTACATTCCTTTCCACTCCAGTTGATTCCATTCCATTCTATTCCATTCCTTTCCATTCCATTCCACTCGTATTTATTCCATTCCTTTCCATTCCATTCCATTCCATTCCACTCGGGTTGATTCCATTACATTCCATTCCACTCAATTCCTTTCCATTCCACTCCATTTCATTCCATTGCATTCCAGTCGGGTTGATTTCATTCCATTCCTTTCCATTCCATTCCATTCATTTCCATTCCATTCACTCGGGTTGATTCCATTGCATTCCATTCCATTCCATTCCACGTGGGTTGATTCCATTCCATTCCATTACATTCCTTTCCGTTCCATTCCATTCATTTCCATTCCACTTGAGTTGATTCCATTCCATTCCATTCCATTCCGTTCCATTCCATTCCAGTCCATTCGGGTTGATTCCATTCCATTCCATTCCTTTCCATTCCTTTCCATTCATTTCCATTCCATTCCATTCCATTCTATTCGGTTTGATTCCATTCCATTCCATTCCATTCCATTCCATTCCATTCCATTCCACTCCATTCCATTCCATTCCATTCCACCCGGATTGATTCCTTTCCATTCCATTTTAATCCATTCCATTCCACTCCTTTCCACTGGGGTTGATTCCATTCCATTCCATTCCATTCCATTTCATTTCTTTCCATTCCATTCCAGTTGATTCTTATGCCTTCCATTCCATTCCATTCCATTGTATTCCATTCCATTCCATTCCATTGTATTCCATTCCATTCCATTCCATTCCACTCGGGATGATTGCATTCCATTCCATTGCAGTCGGGTTGATTCCATTCCATTCCATTCCATTCCATTCCATGACGTTACATTTCATTCCACTCGAGTTGATTCCATTCCATTCCGTACCATTCCATTCCATTCCATTCCATTCCATTCCATTCCATTCCATTCGTGTTTATTCCATTCCATCCCATTCCATTCCACTCGGGTTGATTCCATTCCATTCCGTTACATTCAATTCTACTCGCCTTCATTCCTTTTCGTTCCATTCCATTCCATTCCATTCCATTCCATTCCATTCCATTCCATTCCGCTTGGGTTGATTCCATTCCATTCCATTCCATTCCATTCCATTCCATTCCATTCCATTCTACTCGGGTTCATTTCATTTCATTCGGTTCCATTCCATTCCATTCCATTCCATTCCATTCCATTCATTTCCTTCCCATTCCATTCCACTCCACTCGGGTTGATTCCATTCCGTTCCATTCCATTCCATTAAATTCCATTGCATTCCAGTTCATTCCATTCCTTTCCATTCCATTCCATTCCCTTCCATTCCATTCCGTTGCATTGCAATCGGGTTGATTCCAATCCATTCCATTACATCCCAGTCCTTTTCATTGAATTATATTCCACTCGGTTTGTTTCCATTACACTGAATTCCATTCCATTCCATTCCATTCCATTGCATTCCATTGCATTCCATTCCACTCGGGTTGTTTGCTTTCCATTCCATTCCTTTAGTTTCCATTCCATTCCATTCCATTCCATTCCATTCCATTCCACTCAGGTTGATTCCGTTCGATTCCATTTCAATCCATTACATTCCATTCCATTCTAGTTGATTCCATTGCATTCCATGCCGTTCCATTCCATTCCACTCCATTTCAATCCATTCCACTCGAGTTGATTCCATTCCATTCCATTCCATTCCATTCCATTCCATTCCTTTCCAGTTGATTCCATTCCATTCCATTGCATTCCTTTCCATTCCAATCGGGTTTATTTCATTCCATTCCATTCCATTCTAGTCATTTCCATTCCATTCCATTCCATTCCATTCCAGTCCATTCCATTCCATTCCATTCCTGTCCATAACATTCCACTCTGGTTGATTCCATTCCATTCCATTCCATTCCATTCTATACTATTATATTGCAGTCGAATTGATTCCATTCTATTCCATTACATTGCACTCAAATTGATTCCATTCTATTCCATTCCATTCCATTCCTTTCCATTCCATTCCATTCCATTCCATGACGTTACATTTCATTCCACTCGAGTTGATTCCATTCCATTCCATTCCATTCCATTCCATTCCATTCCATTCCATTCGTGTTTATTCCATTCCATTCCATTCCATTCCACTCGGGTTGTTTCCATTCCATTCCATTCCATTCCATTCCATTCTACTCGGGTTCATTACTTTACGTTCCGTTCCATTCCATTCCATTCCATTCCATTCCACTCGGGCTGATTCCATACCATTCCATTCCATTCCATTCCATTCCTTTCCATTCCATTCCATGCCAGTCATGTTGATTCCATTCCATTCCTATCCATTCCGTGCCATTCCATTCCATTCCTTTCCATTCCATTCCTGTCCTTTTCATTCCATTCCATTCCATTCCATTCCATTCCATTCCATTCCACTGGTGTTTATTCCATTCCACTCCATTCCATTCCATTCCATGGCATTCAATTCCATTCCATTCCATTCCACTCGCATTGACTCCATTCCATACCCGTGCATTCCATTGCATTCCATTCCATTCCATTCCATTCCATTCCTTTCCATTACATTCCTTTCCACTCGAGTTGATTCCATTCCATTCTATTCCATTCCATTCCATTCCATTCCACTCGTATTTATTCCATTCCATTCCATTCGATTCCACTCGTATTTATTCCATTCCATTCTACTCCATTCCATTCCATTCCACTCGGGTTTATTCCATTACATTCCATTCCACTCAATTCCTTTCCATTCCACTCCATTTCATTCCATTGCATTCCACTCGGGTTGATTTCATTCCATTCCTTTCCATTCCATTCCATTCATTTCCATTCCATTCACTCGGGTTGATTCCATTCCATTCCATTCCATTCCATTCTATTCTACTCGGGTTCATTTCATTTCTTTCCATTCCATTCCATTCCATTCATTTACTTTCCATTCCATTCGACTCCACTCGGGTTGATTCCATTCCGTTCCATTCCATTCCATTAAATTCCATTGCATTCCAGTTCATTCCATTGTTTTCCATTGCATTCCATTCCCTTCCATTCCATTCCGTTGCATTGTAATCGGGTTGATTCCAATCCATTCCGTTACATCCCAGTAATTTTCATTCCATTATATTCCACTCGGTTTGTTTCCATTACACAGAATTCCATTCCATTCCATTCCATTCCATTCCATTGCATTCCATTCCACTCGGATTGTTTCCTTTCCATTCCATTCCATTCCATTCCATTGCATTCCATTGCATTCCATTCCACTCGGGTTGTTTCCTTTCCATTCCATTCCTTTAGTTTCCATTCCATTCCATTCCATTCTTTCCATTCCATTCCATTCCACTCAGGTTGATTCCGTTCGATTCCATTCCAATCCATTCCATTCCATTCCATTGTAGTTGATTCCATTGCATTCCATGCCGTTCCATTCCATTCCACTCCATTCCAATCCATTCCACTCGAGTTGATTTCATTCCATTCCATTCCATTCCATTCAATTGCATTCCACTCGGGTTGTTTCCATTCCATTCCATTCCATTCCATTTCATTCCTTTCCAGTTGATTCCATCCCATTCCATTGCATTCCATTCCATTCCAATCGGGTTGATTTCATTCCATTCCATTCCATTTTAGTCCATTGCAGTCCATTCCATTCCATTCCATTCCATTCCATTCCATTCCATTCCATTCCATTCCTGTCCATTTCATTCCATTCCATTCCATTCTAGTTGATTCCATTGCATTCCATGCCATTCCATTCCATTCCATTCTATTCCAATCCATTCCATTAGGGTTGATTTCATTCCATTCCATTTCATTCCATTCCATAGCATTCTACTCGGTTAATTCCATTCCATTCCATTCCATTCCATTCCATTCCATTCCACTCCACTTCATTCGTTTCCTGTTGATTCCATTACCTTCCATTGCATTCCATTCCATTCCAATCGGGTTGATTTCATTCCATTCCATTCCATTCTAGTCCATTCCATTCCATTCCATTCCATTCCTGTCCATTCCATTCCATTCCATTCCATTCCATTCCTGTCCATTCCATTCCACTAGTGTTTATTCCATTCCACTCCAATCCATTGCGTTCCATTCCATTCCATTCCATTCCATTCCACTCGGGTTGATTCCATTCCATACCATTGCATTCCTTTGCATTCTATTCCTTTCCTTTCCATTCCATTCCTTGCCATTCCATTACTTTCCCCTCGAGTTGATTCCATTCCATTCTATTCCATTCCATTCCATTCCATTCCATTCCGTTCCATTTGATTCCTTTCCAGTTTATTCCATTCCATTCCGTTGCATTCCATTCCATTCCAATCCGGTTGATTTCATTCCATTCCATTCCATTCTAGTCCATTCCACTCCATTCTATTCCATTCCATACAATTCCATTCCTGTCCATTCCATTCCATTCCATTCCATTCCATTCCATTCCATTCTAGTTGATTCCATTGCTTTCCATGCCTTTAAATTCCATTCCACTCTATTCCAATCCATTCCACTCGGGTTGATTTCATTCCATTCCTTTCCTTTGCATTCAATGCCATTCCATTCCATTCCATTTCATTCTTATCCAGGTGATTCCATTCCATTCCATTCCATTCGATTCCATTCCAATCGGGTTGATTTCATTCCATTCCATTCCATTCTAGTCCATTCCATTCCATTCCATTCAATTCCATTCCACTGGTGTTTATTCCATTCCACTCCATTCCATTGCATTCCATTCCATTCCATTGCATTCGATTCCATTCCATTCCATTCCACTCGTGTTGACTCCATTCCATACCATTGCATTCCGTTGCATTCCATTCCCTTCCATTCCATTCTATTGCTTTCCATTCCATTCCTTTCCACTCTGGTTGATTCCATTCCATTACATTCCAGTCCATTCCACTCGGGTTGATTCCATTCCATTCCTTTCCATTCCATTCCATTCCACTCGGTTTGTTTCCAGTCCATTCCATTCCATTCCATTCCATGCCGTTACAGTCCATTCCATTCCATTCCACTCGGGTTGATTCCACTCCATTCCATTGCATTCCATGCCGTTACATTCCATGCCATTCCATTCCATTCCATTCTATTCCATTCCATTCCATTCCATTCCATTCCTTTCCATTCCATTCCACTCTGCTTGATTCCATTCCATTCCATTCCATTCTATACCATTACATTGCAGTAGAATTGATTCCATTTTATTCCATTACATTGCACTCGAATTGATTCCATTCTATTCCATTCCATTCCATTCCATTCCATTCCATTCCATTCCATTCCATGACGTTACATTTCATTCCACTCTAGTTGATTCCATTCCATTCCATTCCATTCCATTCCATTCCTTTCCATTCCATTCGTGTTTATTCCATTCCATTCCATTCCATTCCACTCGGGTTGATTCCATTCCATTCCATTCCATTCCATTCCATTCTACTCGGGTTCATTACTTTTCGTTCCGTTCCATTCCATTCCATTCCATTCCATTCCATTCCATTCCATTCTACTTGGGCTGATTCCATACCATTCCATTCTATTCCATTCCATTCCATTCCATTCCATTCCTTTCCATTCCCTTCCATGCCAGTCATGTTGATTCCATTCCATTCCTATCCGTTCCGTGCCATTCCACTCCAATCCTATCCTTTTCATTCCATTCCATTCCATTCCATTCCATTCCATTCCACTGGTGTTTATTCCATTCCAATCCATTCCATTGCATTCCATTCCATTCCATTGAATTCAATTCCATTCCATTGCATTCAATTCCTTTCCATTCCATTCCACTCGGATTGACTCCATTCCATACCCGTGCATTCCATTGCATTCCATTCCTTTCCATTCCATTCCATTCCTTTCCATTACATTACTTTCCACTCGAGTTGATTCCATTCAATTCTATTCCATTTAATTCCATTCCATTCCACTCGTATTTATTCCATTCCTTTCCATTCCATTCCATTCCATTCCATTCCATTGCATTCCATTCCATTCCATTCCATTCGGGTTGATTCCATTACATTCCATTCCACTCAATTCCTTTCCATTCCACTCCATTTCATTCCATTCCTTTCCATTACATTCCATTCATTTCCATTCCATTCACTCGGGTTGATTCCATTGCATTCCATTCCATTCCATTCCACGTGGGTTGATTCCATTCCATTCCATTAAATTCCTTTCCGTTCCATTCCATTCATTTCCATTCCACTTGAGTTGATTCCATTCCATTCCATTCCATTCCATTCCATTCCATTCCAGTCCATTCGGGTTGATTCCATTGCATTCCATTCCTTTCCATTCCTTTCCATTCCTTTCCATTCCATTCCGTTCCCTTCCATTGGGGTGATTCCATTCCATTCCGTTCCATTCCATTCCATTCCATTCCATTCCACTCCATTCCATTCCATTCCATTCCACCCGGATTGATTCCTTTCCATTCCATTATAATCCATTCCATTCCACTCCATTCCACTGGGGTTGATTCAATTCCATTCCATTCCATTCCATTCCATTCCATTTCATTTCTTTCCCTTCCATTCCAGTTGATTCTAATGCCTTCCATTCCATTCCATTCCATTCCATTCCATTCCATTCCATTCCTTTCCAGTTGATTCCATTCCATTCCATTGCATTCCTTTCCATTCCAATCGGGTTTATTTCATTCCATTCCATTCCATTCTAGTCATTTCCATTCCATTCCCTTCCATTCCATTCCAGTCCATTCCATTCCATTCCATTCCTGTCCATAACATTCCACTCTGGTTGATTCCATTCCATTCCATTCCATTCCATTCTATACTATTACATTGCAGTCGAATTGATTCCATTCTATTCCATTACATTGCACTCGAATTGATTCCATTCTATTCCATTCCATTCCATTCCTTTCCATTCCATTCCATTCCATTCCATGACGTTACATTTCATTCCACTCGAGTTGATTCCATTCCATTCCATTCCATTCCATTCCATTCCACTCCATTCGTGTTTATTCCATTCCATTCCATTCCATTCCACTCGGGTTGATTCCATTCCATTCCATTCCATTCCGTTCCATTCTACTCGGGTTCATTACTTTACGTTCCGTTCCATTCCATTCCATTCCATTCCATTCCACTCGGGCTGATTCCATACCATTCCATTCCATTCCATTCCATTCCTTTCCATTCCATTCCATGCCAGTCATGTTGATTCCATTCCATTCCTATCCATTCCGTGCCATTCCATTCCATTCCTTTCCATTCCATTCCTGTCCTTTTCATTCCATTCCATTCCATTCCATTCCATTCCATTCCATTCCACTGGTGTTTATTCCATTCCACTCCATTCCATTATATTCCATTCCATTCCATGGCATTCAATTCCATTCCATTCCATTCCACTCGCATTGACTCCATTCCATACCCGTGCATTCCATTGCATTCCATTCCATTCCATTCCATTCCATTCCTTTCCATTACATTCCTTTCCACTCGAGTTGATTCCATTCCATTCTATACCATTCCATTCCATTCCATTCCACTCGTATTTATTCCATTCCATTCCATTCGATTCCACTCGTATTTATTCCATTCCATTCCATTCCATTCCATTCCATTCCATTCCACTCGGGTTTATTCCATTACATTCCATTCCACTCAATTCCTTTCCATTCCACTCCATTTCATTCCATTGCATTCCACTCGGGTTGATTTCATTCCATTCCTTTCCATTCCATTCCATTCATTTCCATTCCATTCACTCGGGTTGATTCCATTCCATTCCATTCCATTCCATTCCATTCTATTCTACTCGGGTTCATTTCATTTCGTTCCATTCCATTCCATTCCATTCATTTACTTTCCATTCCATTCGACTCCACTCGGGTTGATTCCATTCCGTTCCATTCCATTCC
This sequence comes from Homo sapiens, assembly GCF_000001405.40. Lineage (NCBI taxonomy): Eukaryota > Metazoa > Chordata > Mammalia > Primates > Hominidae > Homo > Homo sapiens. The sequence continues at coordinate 41,868,015 of NC_000010.11, read as the reverse complement.
ATTAAATTTCATTGCATTCCAGTTCATTCCATTGTTTTCCATTGCATTCCATTCCCTTCCATTCCATTCCGTTGCATTGTAATCGGGTTGATTCCAATCCATTCCGTTACATCCCAGTAATTTTCATTCCATTATATTCCACTCGGTTTGTTTCCATTACACAGAATTCCATTCCATTCCATTCCATTCCATTCCATTGCATTCCATTCCACTCGGATTGTTTCCTTTCCATTCCATTCCATTCCATTCCATTGCATTCCATTGCATTCCATTCCACTCGGGTTGTTTCCTTTCCATTCCATTCCTTTAGTTTCCATTCCATTCCATTCCATTCTTTCCATTCCATTCCATTCCACTCAGGTTGATTCCGTTCGATTCCATTCCAATCCATTCCATTCCATTCCATTGTAGTTGATTCCATTGCATTCCATGCCGTTCCATTCCATTCCACTCCATTCCAATCCATTCCACTCGAGTTGATTTCATTCCATTCCATTCCATTCCATTCAATTGCATTCCACTCGGGTTGTTTCCATTCCATTCCATTCCATTCCATTCCATTTCATTCCTTTCCAGTTGATTCCATCCCATTCCATTGCATTCCATTCCATTCCAATCGGGTTGATTTCATTCCATTCCATTCCATTTTAGTCCATTGCAGTCCATTCCATTCCATTCCATTCGATTCCATTCCATTCCATTCCATTCCATTCCATTCCATTCCTGTCCATTTCATTCCATTCCATTCCATTCTAGTTGATTCCATTGCATTCCATGCCATTCCATTCCATTCCATTCTATTCCAATCCATTCCATTAGGGTTGATTTCATTCCATTCCATTTCATTCCATTCCATAGCATTCTACTCGGTTAATTCCATTCCATTCCATTCCATTCCATTCCATTCCATTCCACTCCACTTCATTCGTTTCCTGTTGATTCCATTACCTTCCATTGCATTCCATTCCATTCCAATCGGGTTGATTTCATTCCATTCCATTCCATTCTAGTCCATTCCATTCCATTCCATTCCTGTCCATTCCATTCCATTCCATTCCATTCCATTCCTGTCCATTCCATTCCACTAGTGTTTATTCCATTCCACTCCAATCCATTGCGTTCCATTCCATTCCATTCCATTCCATTCCACTCGGGTTGATTCCATTCCATACCATTGCATTCCTTTGCATTCTATTCCTTTCCTTTCCATTCCATTCCTTGCCATTCCATTACTTTCCCCTCGAGTTGATTCCATTCCATTCTATTCCATTCCATTCCATTCCATTCCATTCCATTCCGTTCCATTTGATTCCTTTCCAGTTTATTCCATTCCATTCCGTTGCATTCCATTCCATTCCAATCCGGTTGATTTCATTCCATTCCATTCCATTCTAGTCCATTCCACTCCATTCTATTCCATTCCATACAATTCCATTCCTGTCCATTCCATTCCATTCCATTCCATTCCATTCTAGTTGATTCCATTGCTTTCCATGCCTTTAAATTCCATTCCACTCTATTCCAATCCATTCCACTCGGGTTGATTTCATTCCTTTCCTTTCCATTGCATTCTTGTCCACTCCATTCCATTCCATTCCATTCCAATCTATTCCATTCCATTCCATTCTGGTCCATTCCATTCCATTGCATTCAATTCCTTTCCACTGGTGTTTATTCCATTCCCCTCCATTCCATTGCATCCCATTGCATTCCATTTCATTCCCTTCCATTCCACTCGGGTTGACTCCATTCCATACCATTGCATTCCATTGCATTCCATTCCTTTCCTTTCCATTCCATTCCTTTCTAATCCATTCCTTTCCACTAGAGTTGATTCCATTGCATTCCATTCCATTCCATGCCATTTCATTCCATTCGATTCCATTCCACTCGTGTTTATTCCATTCCATTCCATGCCATTTCATTCCATTCGATTCCTTTCCACTCTTGTTTATTCCCTTCCATTCCATTCCATTCCATTCCATTCCATTACTTTCCACTCGGGTTGATTCCATTCTGTTCCATTCCATTCCACTCGTGTTGATTCCATTCCACTGCATTCCATTCCATTCCATTGCATTCTACTCAGGTTGATTCCATTCCATTCCATTCCATTCCAATCCATTCCATTCCATTCCATTGCATTCATTTCATTCCTTTCCAGTTGATTCCATTCCATTCCATTACATTCCACTCCATTCCAATCGGGTTGATTTCATTCCATTCCATTCCATTCTAGTCCATTCCATTCCATTCCATTCCATTCCATTCCATTCCATTCCATTCCATACCATTCCATTCCATTTCATTCCTGTCCATTCCATTCCATTCCATTCCATTCCATTGCATTCATTTCATTCCTTTCCAGTTGATTCCATTCCATTCCATTACATTCCACTCCATTCCAATCGGGTTGATTTAATTCCATTCCATTCCATTCTATTCCATTCCATTCCATTCCATTCCATTCCATTCCATTCCATTTCATTCCTGTCCATTCCATTCCATTCCATTCCATTCCATTCCACTGCTGTTTATTCCACTCCACTCCATTCCATTGCATTTCATTCCATTCCATTTCATTCCTTTCCATTCCATTCCATTCCCCTCGAGTTGATTCCATTCCATTCCATTCCATTCCATTCCATTTCATTCCTTTCCAGTTGATTCCATTCCATTCCGTTGCATTCCACTCCATTCCAATCGGGTTGATTTCATTCCATTCCATTCCATTCCTGTCCATTCCATTCCATTCCATTCCACTCCATTCCATTCCACTCCATTCCATTGCATTCCATTCCACTGGTGTTTATTCCATTCCTCTCCCTTCCATTGCATTGCATTCTATTCCATTTAATTCCATTCTTTCCATTCCATTCCTCTCGGATTGACTCCATTCCATACCACTGAATTCCATTGCATTCCATTCCTTTCCTTTCCATTCCATTCCTTTCCCTTCCTTTCCTTTCCACTCGAGTTGATTCCATTCCATTCTATTCCATTCCATTCCATTCCATTCCATTCCGTTCCATTTGATTCCTTTCCACTTTATTCCATTCCATTTAATTGCATTCAATTCCATTCCAATCGGGTTGATTTCATTCCATTACGTTCCATTCTATTCCATTCCACTCCATTCCATTCCATTCCATTCCTGTCCATTCCATCCCATTCCAATCCATTCTAGTTGATTCCATTGCATTCCATGCCGTTCCATTCCATTCCACTCTATTCCAATCCATTCCAGTCGGGCTGATTTCATTCCATTCCCTTCCATTCCATTCCATTGCATTCCACTCAGGTTGATTCCATTCCATTCCATTCCATTCCATTCCATTCCATTCCATTCCATTCCATTTCATTCCTTTCCTGTTGATTCCATTCCATTACATTGCATTCCATTCCATTCCAATCGGGTTGATTTCACTCCATTCCATTCCATTCTAGTCCATTCCATTCGATTCAATTCCATGCCATTCCATTCCATTCCTTTCCTGTCCATTCCATTCCATTCCTTTCCATTCCATTCCACTGGTGTTTATTCCATTCCACTCCATTCCATTGCATTCCGTTCCTTTCCAGTTCATTCCGTTCCATTCCATTCCATCAGATTCCCTTCCATTCCATTCCACTCGGGTAGATTCCATTCCATTCCATTCCATTCCATTCCATTGCATTCCATTCCATTTCATTCCATTCCACTCGGGTTCATTCCATTCCGTTCCGTTCCATTCCATTCCATTCCATTCATTTCCTTTCCATTCCATTCCACTCCACTCGCGTTTATTCCATTCCATTCCATTCCGTTAAATTCCATGCTATTCCATTCCATTCCAGTTCATTCCATTCCTTTCCATTCCATTCCATTCCGTTCCACTCCATTCCATTACATTCCATTCTGTTGCATTGGAATCGGGTTGATTCCAATCCATTCCATTACATTCCATTCCACTCAGTTTGTTTCCATTGCATTCCATTCCACTCGGGTTGATTCCATTCCATTCCATTCCGTGCCTTTCCATTCGATTCGATTCCCTTCCATTCCACTCGGGTTCATTCCATTCCGTTCCGTTCTTTTCAATTCCATTCTATTCCTTTCATTTCCATTCCATTTCATTCCACTCCACTCGGGTTGATTCCATTCCATTCCATTCCATTCCATTAAATTCCATTCCATTCCATTCCATTAAATTCCATTCCATTCCATTCCATTAAATTCCATTCCATTCCATTCCATTCCATGCCGTTGCATTGGAATCGTGTTGATTCCAATACATTCCATTACATTCCAGTCCTTTCCATTCCATTACATTCCACTCGGTTTGTTTACATTACATTGAATTGCATTCCATTCCTTTCCATAACTTTGCATTCCGTTGCATTCCATTCCACTCGGGTTGCTTCCAATCCATTCCATTCCATTAATTTCCATTCCGTTCCATTCCATTCATTCAATTCCATTCCATTCCATTCCTTTCCACTCAGGTTGATTCTGTTCGATTCCATTCCAATCCATTCCATTCCATTCCATTCTAGTTGATTCTATTGCATTCCATGCCGTTCCATTCCATTCCACTCCATTCCAATCCATTCCACTCGGGTTGATTCTATTCCACTCCATTCCATTCCATTCCATTCCATTCCATTCCATTCCATTGCATTCCACTGCATTCCATTCCACTCGAGTTGTTTCCTTTCCATTCCATTGCATTAGTATCCATTCCATTCCATTCCATTCATTCCATTCCACTCAGTTTGATTCCGTTCGATTACATTCAAATCCATTCCATTCCATTCCATTCTAGTTGATTCCATTGCATTCCATGCCGTTCCATTCCATTCCACTCCATTCCAATCCATTCCACTCAGGTTGACTCCATTCCAATCTAGTCCATTCCATTTCATTCCATTCAATTCCATTCCATTGCATTCCATTCCATTCCTGTCCATTCCATTCCATTCCATTCCATTCCATTCCACTCCATTCCATTGCATTCCATTCCACTGCTGTTTATTCCATTACACTCCATTCCATTGCATTCCATTCCATTCCATTCCATTTCATTCCATTCCATTCCATTCCGTTCCAATCGGGTTGACTCCATTCCATACCTTTGCATTCTTTTGCATACCATTCCTTTCCTTTCCATTCCTTTCTTTTCCATTCCATTCCTTTCCACTCGATTTGATTCCATTCCATTCCATTCCATTCCATTCCGTTCCATTCCGTTCCCTTTGATTCCTTTCCAGGTGATTCTATTCCCTTCCATTGCATTCCATTCCATTCCAATCGGGTTGATTTCATTCTATTCCATTCAATTCTAGTCCTTTCCATTCCATTCCATTCCATTCCATTCCTGATCATTCCATTCCATTCCATTCCGTTCCATTCCATTCCACTGGTGTTTATTCCATTCCACTCTATTCCATTGCATTCCATTCCACTGTTGTTTATTCCAATCCACTCCATTCAATTGCATGCCATTCCGTTCCATTTCATTCCATTCCATTCCATTCCATTCCACTCGCGTTGACTCCATTCCATACCATTGCATTCCATTTCATTCCATTCCTTTCCTTCCCATTCCATTCTAGTCCATTCCTTTCCATTCCATTCCATTCCATTCCATTCCACTCGTGTTTATTCCATTCCATTCAATTCCATTCCATTCGATTCCATTCCATTCCAGTCCATTCCTTTCCATTCCATTCCATTCCATTCCATTCCATTCCACTCGTGTTTATTCCATTCCATTCAATTCCATTCCATTCCATTCCATTCCATTCCATGTCACTCGGGTTCATTGCATTCCATTGCATTCTAGTCCATTCCATTCCATTCGTTTCCATTTTATTCCATTCCATTAAATTCCATTCCATTCCATTAAATTCCATTCCATTCCATTCCATTCCATTCCAGTTGATTCCATTCCTTTCCTTTCCTTTCCATTCCATTCCATTCCATTCCATTCCATTCCATTCCATTCCATTCCATTCCATTCCGTTGGATTGGAATCGGGTTGATTTCAATCCATTCGATTACATTCCAGTCCTTTCCATTCCAGTACATTCCACTCGGTTTTTTTCCATTACATTGAATTCCATTCCATTCCATTCCATTCCATTGCATTCCATTGCATTCCATTCCACTCGGGTTGTTTCTTTTCCATTACATTCCATTAGTATCCATTCCATTCCATTCCATTCATTCCATTCCATTCCATTCCATTACACTGAGGTTGATTCCGTTCGATTCCATTCCAATCCATTCCATTCTATTCCATTCTAGTTGATTCCATTGCATTCCATGCCGTTCCATTCCATTCCATTCCATTCCAATCCATTCCAGTCGGGATGATTCCATTCCATTCCATTCCATTCCATTGCATTCCACTCGAGTTGATTCCATTCCATTCCATTCCATTCCATTCCATTCCATTTCATTCCTTTCCAGTTGATTCCATTACATTCCGTTGGTTTCCACTCCATTGCAATCGGGTTGATTTCATTCCATTCCATTCCATTCCTGTCCATTCCATTCCATTCCACTCCTTTCCATTCCACTCCATTCCATTGCATTCCATTGCACTGGTGTTTATTCCATTCCTCTCCATTCCATTGCATTCCATTCTATTCCATTTAATTCCATTCTTTCCATTCCATTCCACTCGGGTTGACTCCATTCCATACCATTGAATTCCATTGCATTCCATTCCTTTCCTTTCCATTCCATTCCTTTCCATTCCTTTCCTTTCCACTCGAGTTGATTCCATTCCATTCAATTCCATTCCATTCCATTCCATTCCCTTCCGTTCCATTTGATACCTTTCCAGTTGATTCCATTCCATTTATTTGCATTCCATTCCATTCCAATCTGGTTGATTTCATTCCATTACATTCCATTCTAGTCCATTCCACTCCATTCCATTCCATTCCATCCCATTCCATTCCATTCTAGTTGATTCCATTGCATTCCATGCCGTTCCATTCCATTCCACTCTATTCCAATCCATTCCATTCGGGCTGATTTCATTCCATTCCATTCCATTCCATTCCCTTGCATTCCACTCGGGTTGATTCCATTCCATTCCATTCCATTCCATTTCATTCCTTTCCAGTTGATTCCCTTCCATTACATTGCATTCCATTCCATTCCAATCGGGTTGATTTCACTCCATTCCATTCCAATCTAGTCCATTCCATTCCATTCCATTCCATTCCATTCCATTGCATTCCATTCCATTCCATTGCATTCCTGTCCATTCCATTCCATTCCTTTCCATTCCATTCCACTGGTGTTTATTCCATTCCACTCCATTCCATTGCATTCCATTCCATTCCAATCGTGTTGATTTCATTCCATTCCATTCCATTCTAGTCCATTCCATTCCACTCCATTCCATTCCATTCCATTCCTGTCAATTCTACTCCATTCCATTCCATTCTAATCCTGTCCATTCCATTGCATTTCATTCCATTTCATTCCATTCCATCCCGTTCCATTCCATTCCACTCATGTTGATTCCATTCCATAATATTGCATTCCATTGCATTCCATTCCTTTCCATTCCATTCCATTCCTTTTCATCCCATTCCTTTCCACTCGACTTGATTCCATTCCATTCTCTTCAATTCCATTCCATTCCATTCCATTTCATTCCATTCCACTCGTGTTTATTTCATTCTATTCCATTCCATTCCATTCCATTCCCTTGCACTCGGGTTGATTCCATTCCATTCCATTCCATTCCGCTCCATTCGGTTTGATTCCATTCCATTCCATTCCAGTGCATTGCATTCCATTCCATTCCACTCGGGATTATTCCACTCTATTCCATTCCATTGCATGCCATTACAGTCCATTCCACTCCATTCCACTCGGGTTGATTACACTCCATTCCATTCCATTCCATGCCATTTCATTCCATTCCATTCCATTCCATTGCATTCCATTCCATTCCATTCCACTCCACTCTGGTTGATTCCATTCCATTCCATTCTATACAATTACATTGCACTCGAATTGATTCCATTCTATTCCATTCCATTCCATTCCATTCCATTCCATTCCATTGCACTCGGGTTGATTCCATTCCATTCCATTCCATTCCATTACATTCCACTCGGATTGATTCCATTCCATTACATTCCAGTCCATACCATTCCATTCCATTCCACTCGGGTTTATTCCACTCCATTCCATTCCATTCCATGCCGTTACAGTCCATTCCATTCCATTCCACTCGGGTTGATTCCACTCCATTCCATTCCATTCCATGCCGTTACATTCCATTCCATTCCTTTCCATTCCATTCCATTCCATTCCATTCCATTCCATCCGTTTCCGTTCTATTCCACTGTGTTTGATTCTATTCCATTCCATTCCATTCTATACCATTACATTGCACTCGAATTGATTCCATTCCATTCCATTCCATTCCATTCCATTGCAGTCGAATTGATTCCATTCCATTCCATTCCATTCCACTCGGATTGATTCCATTCCATTCCATTCCAGTCCATAGCATTCCATTCCATTCCACTCGGGTTTATTCCACTCCATTCCATTCCATTCCATGCCATTACAGTCCATTACATTCCATTCCTCTCGGGTTGATTCCACTCCATTCCATTCCATTCCATGCCGTTACATTCCACTCCATTCCATTCCGTTCCATTCCATTCCATTCCTTTCCGTTCCATTCCATTCCATTCCTTTCCATTCCATTCCATTCCATTCCATTCCACTCGGGTTCATTCCATTCCGTTCCATTCTATTCCATTCCTTTCCATTCCATTCATTTCCATTCCATTCCTTTCCACTCCACTCGCGTTGATTCCATTCCATTTCATTCCATTCCTTTCCATTCCGTTAAATTCAATGCCATTCCATTCCATTCCAGTTCATTCTATTCCTTTGCATTCCGTTCCATTCCATTCAATTACATTACATTTCGTTTCACTGGAATCGGGTAGATTCCAATCCATTCCATTACATTCCAGTCCTTTCCATTATATTACATTCCACTCGGTTTGTTTCCATTACATTGAATTCCATTCCATTCCATTCCATACCAACGGGATTGATTCCATTCCATTCCATTATAATCCATTCCATTCCATTCCATTACAGTTGATTCTAATGCCTTTCACTCCATTATATTCCATTGCATTCCATTCCATTCCATTCCACTCTGTTTGTTTCCATTCCATTACATTCCACTCGGGTTGATTCCATTCCATTTGATTCCGTTCCATTCCATTCCATTACATTCCATTCCATTGCATTGGAATCGGGTTGATTCCAATCCATTCCATTACATTCCAGTCCTTTCCATTGTATTACATTCCACTCGGTTTGTTTCCATTACATTGAATTCCATTCCATTCCATTCCAATCCATTCCATTACATTCCATACCACCCAGATTGATTCCATTCCATTCCATTATAATCCATTCCATTCCATTCCATTCCAGTTGATTCTAATGCCTTTCACCCCATTCCATTCCACTGCATTCCATTCCATTCCATTCCACTCAGTTTGTTTCCATTCCATTCCATTCCACTCGGGTTGATTCCTTTCCATTCCATTCCATTCCATTTCATTCCATTCCATTCCGTGCCTTTCCATTCCATTCCATTCCATTCCATTCCACTCGGGTTCATTCCATTCCATTCGTTTTCATTCCATTCCATTCTATTCCATTCATTTCCATTCAATTCCATTCCACTCCACTCGGGTTGATTCCATTCCATTCCATTCCTTTCCATTAAATTCCATTCCATTCCATTACATTCCAGTTCATTCCATTACTTTCCCTTCCATTCTGTTCCCTTCCATTCCATTCCATTCCATTCCATGCCGTTGCATTGGAATCGGGTTGATTCCAATACATTCCATTACATTCCATTCCTTTCCATTCCATTACATTCCACTCGGTTTGTTTCCATTACATTGAATTCCATTCCATTTCTTTCCATAACATTGCATTCCTTTGCATTCCATTTCACTCTGGTTGCTTCCTTTCCATTCCATTCCATTTGTTTCCATTCCATTCCATTCCATTCATTTAATTCCATTCCATTCCATTCCTTTCCACTCAGGTTGATTCCGTACGATTCCATTCCAATCCATTCCATACCATTCCATTCTAGTTGATTCCATTGCATTCCATGCCATTCCATTCCATTCCACTCCATTCCAATACATACCACTCGGGTTGATTCCATTCCTTTCCATACCATTCCATTCCATTCCATTGCATTCCACTCGGGTTGATTCCATTCTATTCCATTCCATTCCATTCCATTCCACTCCACTGCATTCCATTGCATTCCCTTCCACTGGGGTTGTTTCCTTTCCATTCCATTGTATTAGTATCCATTCCATTCCATTCCATTCATTCCATTCCATTCCATTCCATTGCACTCAGGTTGATTCTATTCGATTCCATTCCATTCCTTTCTATTCCATTCCATTGCATTCCATTCCATTCTAGTTGATTGCATTGCATTCCATGCCGTTCCATTCCATTCCACTCCATTCCAATCCGTTCAACTCAGGTTGATTCCATTCCATTCCATTCCATTCCATTGCATTCCACTCGGGTTGATTCCATTCCTTTCCATTCCATTCCATTCCATTTCATTCCATTCCATTCCATTCCATTTCGTTCCTTTCCAGTTGATTCCATTCCATTCCATTGCATTCCATTCCATTCCAATTGGGTTGATTTAATTCCATTCCATTCCATTCTAGTCCATTCCATTCCATTCCATTCCATTCCTGTCCATTCCATTCCATTCCATTCCATTCCATTCCATTCCATTCCACTCCATTCCTTTCCATTACATTCCACTGGTGTTTATTACATTCCACTCCATTCCATTTCATTCCATTCCATTCCATTTATTCCATTCCATTCCATTCCATTCCACTCGGTTTGACTCCATTCCATACCATTGCATTCCATTGCATTCCATTCCTTTACTTTCCATTCCATTCCTTTCCACTCCATACCATTCCATGGATGGACTCATCAGCGAATGGATTCGAATGGAATCATCATCAGATGGAAATGAATGGAATCATCATAGAATGGAATCGAATGGATTCATTGAATGGAATCAGATGGAATCATCGAATGGACTTTAATGGAATCATTAAATGGACTCGAATGGAATCATTATTGAATGGAATTGAATGGAATCTTCCAATGGTCTCGAATGGAATTATTATCAAATGGAACCGAATGGAATCACCGAATAGAATCGAATGGAACAATCATCGAATGGACCCAAATGGAATTATCCTCAAATGGAATAGAATGGAATTATCGAATGCAATCGAATAGAATCATCGAATGGACTCGAGTGGAATCATCGAATGGAATGGAATGGAATAGTCAATGAACTCGAATGGAATCATCATTGAATGGAATCGAATGGAATCATTGAGTGGAATCGAATGGAATCACGATCAAATGGAATCGAATGTAATCATCATCAAATGGAATCAAAATAACCATCATCAATTGGTATTGAATGGAATTGTCATCAAATGGAATTCAAAGGAATCAACATCAAATGGAACCGAATGGAATCCTCGTTGAATGGAAATGAAAGGAGTCATCATCTAATGGAATCACATGGAATCATCATCTAATGGAATCGAATGGAATCATCATCGAATGGACTCATCATCAAATCGAATCTAATGGCATCATTGAAAGGAATTGAATGGAACCGTCATCGAATGAATTGAATGCAATCATTGAATGGTCTCGAATGGAATCATCTTCAAATGGAAAGGAATGGAATCATCGCATGGAATCAAATGGAATTATCATTGAATGGACCGAATGGAATCAACATCAAACGGAATCAAACGGAATTATTGAATGGAATCGGAGAGAATCATCGAATGGCCACGAATGGAATCATCTAATGGAGTGGAATGGAATAATCCCTTGACCCGAATGCAATCATCATCAAATAGAATCGAATGGAATCATCGAATGTACTCGAATGGAATAATCAAACGGAATCGAATGGAATCATCGTCGAATGGAAACGAATGGAATCATCATCGAATGGAAATGAAAGGAGTCATCATCTAATGGAATCGCATGGAATCATCATCAAACGGAATCGCATGGAATCATCATCAAATGGAATCTAATGGAATCGTTGAACGGAATTGAATGGAATCGTCATCGAATGAATTGAATGCAATCATCGAATGGTGTCGAATGGAATCATCTTCAAATGGCATGGAATGGAATCATCGCATAGAATCGAATGGAATTATCATCGAATGGACTCAAATGGAATCAACATCAAACGGAATCAAACGGAATTATCAAATGGAATCGAAGAGAATCATCGAATGGACTCGAATGGAATCATCTAATGAAATAGAATGGAATAATCCATGGACTCGAATGCAATCATCATCAAATGGAATAGAGTGGAATCGGCGAATGAACTCGAATGGAATAAACATTGAACGGAATCGAATGGAATCATCATCGGATGGAAACGAATGGAATCATCATCGAATGGAATCGAATGGAATCATCAAATGGAATCAGATGGAATCATCATCAAATGAAATCGAATAGAACTATGGAATGAAATCCAATATGATCATCATCGAATGGACTCGAGCGGAATCATCATCCAATGGAAGCTAATGGAATCAAAATCGTATGGAATCGAATGGAAACACCATCGAATTGAAACGAATGGAATTATCATGAAATTGAAATGGATGGACTCATCATCGAATGGATTCGAATGGAATCATCGAATGAAATTGATTGAAATCATCATCAAATGGAATCGAATGGCATCATTGAATGGAATCGAATGGAATCATCATCAGATGGAAATGAATGGAATCATCACTGAATGGAATCGAATGGATTCATTGAATGGAATCAGATGGGATCATCGAATGGACTTGAATGGAATCATTGAATGGACTCGAAAGGAATCATTATTGAATGGAATTGAATGGAATCATCGAATGGTCTCGAATGGAATCATTATCAAATGGAATCGAATGGAATCACCGAATAGAATCGAATGGAACAATCATCGAATGGACTCAAATGGAATTATCCTCAAATGGAATCGAAGGGAATTATCTAATGCAATCGAATAGAATTATCGAATGCAATCGAATAGAATCATCGAGTGGACTCGAATGGAATCATCGAGTGGAATGGAATGGAATAGTCAATGAACTCGAATGGAATCATCATTGAATGGAATAGAATGGAATCATCGAGTGGAATCGAATGGAATCACAATCAAATGGCATCGAATGTAATCATCATCAAATGGAATCAAAAATAACCATCATCAATTGGTATTGAATGGAATTGTCATCAAATGGAATTCAAAGGAATCATCATCAAATGGAACCGAATGGAATCCTCATTGAATGGAAATGAAAGGAGTCATCATCTAATGGAATCGCATGGAATCATCATCAAATGGAATCGAATGGAATCATCATTAAATGGAATCATCATCAAATCAAATCTAATGGTATCATTGAACGGAATTGAATGGAACCGTCATCTAATGAATTGAATGCAATCATCGAATGGTCCCGAATGGAATCATCTACAAATGGAAAGGAATGGAATCATCGCATAGAATCGAATGGAATTATGATTGAATGGACCGAATGGAATCAACATCAAACTTAATCAAACGGAATTATCGAATGGAATCGGAAAGAATCATCGAATGGCCACGAATGGAATCATCTAATGGAATGGAATGGAATAATCCATGGACTCGAATGCAATCATCATCGAATAGAATCGAATGGAATCATCGAATGGACTCGAATGGAATAATCATTGAACGGAATCGAATGGAATCATCGTCGAACGGAAACAAATGGAATCATCATCGAATGCAAATGAAAGGAGTCATCATCTAATGGAATCGCATGGAATCATCATCAAATGGAATCGCATGGAATCATCATCGAATGGAATCGAATGGAATCGTCGAATGGACTCGAAAGGAATAAACATTGAACGGAATCCAATGCAGTCTTCACCGGATGGAAACGAATGGAATCATCATCGAATTGAATGGAATGGAATCATCAAATGGAATCAGATGGAATCATCATCAAATGGAATCGAATAGAATTATGGAATGAAACCCAATGTGATCATCATCGAACGGACTTGAATGGAATCATCATCCAATGGAAACTAATGGAATCAACATCGAATGGAATCGAATGGAAACACCATCGAATTGAAACGAATGGAATTATCATGAAATTGAAAAGGAAGGACTCATCATCGAATGGATTCGAATGGAATCATCGAATGAAATTGATTGAAATCATCATCTAATGGAATCGAATGGAATCATTGAATGGAATCGAATGGAATCATCATCATATGGAAATGAATGCAATCATCATTGAATGGAATCGAATGGATTCATTGAATGGAATCACATAGAATCATCGAATGGACTTGAATGGAAACATTGAATGGACTCGAATGGAATCATTATTGAATGGAATTCAATGGAATCATCGAATGGTCTCGAATAGAATCATTATCAAATGGAATCGAATGGAATAATTATCGAATGGAATCGAATGGAACAATCATGGAATGGACTCAAATGGCATTATCCTCAAATGGAATTGAATGGATTTATCAAATGCAATCGAATGGAATTATAGAATGCCATCAAATAGAATCATCGAATGGACTCGAATGGAATCATCGAATGGAATGGAATGGAATAGTCAATGAACTCGAATGGAATCATCATTGAATGGAATCGAATGGAATCATCGAGTGGAATCGAATAGAATCATGATCAAATGGAATCAAGTGTAATCATCATCAAATGGAATCAAAAATAACCATCATCAGTTGGTATTGAATGGAATTGTCATCAAATGGAATTCAAAGGAATCATCATCAAATGGAACCGAATGGAATCCTCATTGAATGGAAATGAAAGGAATCATCATCTAATGGAATCGCATGGAATCATCATCAAATGGAATCGAATGGAATAATCATCGAATGGAATCTAATGGAATCATTGAACAGAATTGAATGGAATCGTCATCGAATGAATTGAATGCAATCATCGAATGGTCTCGAATGGCATCATCTTCAAATGGAAAGGAATGGAATCATCGCATAGAATCGAATGGAATTGTCATTGAATGGACTCGAATGGAATCAACATCAAACGGAATCAAACGGAATTATCGAATGGAATCGAAGAGAATCATCGAATGGCCTCGAATGGAATCCTCTAATGGAATGGAATGAAATAATCCATGGACACGAATGTAATCATCATCGAATAGAATCGAATGGAATCATCGTATGGACTCGAATGGAATAATCATTGAACGGAATCGAATGGAATCATCGTCGAATGGAGGAAACAAATGGAATCATCATAGAATGGAAATGAAAGGGGTCATCATCCAATGGAATCGCATGGAATCATCATCAAATGGAATCGAATGGAATCATCATCGAATGGAATCTAATGGAATCATTGAACGGAATTGAATGGAATCATCATCGAATGAATTGAATGCAATCATCGAATGGTCTCGAATGGAATCATCTTCAAAATGAATGGAATGGAATCATCGCATAGAATCGAATGGAATTAACATCGAATGGACTCAAATGGAATCAACATCAAACGGAATCAAACGGAATTATCGAATGGAATCGAAGAGAATCATCGAATGGACTCGAATGGAATCATCTAATGAAATAGAATGGAATAATCCATGGACTAGAATGCAATCATCCTCAAATGGAATCGAATGGAATCGTCGAATGGACTCGAATGGAATAAATATTGAACGGAATCGAATGGAATCATCATCGGATGGAAACGAATGGAATCATTATCGAATGGAATCGAATGGAATCATGAAATGGAATCAGATGGAATCATCATCAAATGGAATCAAATACAATTATGGAATGAAATCCAATGTGATCATCATCAAATGGAATCGAACGGAATCATCATCCACTGGAAACTAATGGAATCAACATCGAATGGAATCGAATGGAAACACCATCGAATTGAAACGAATGGAATTATCATGAAATTGAAATGGATGGACTCATCATCGAATGGATTCGAATGGAATCATCGAATGAAATTGATTGAAATCATCATCAAATGGAATCGAATGGAATCATTGAATGGAATCGAATGGAATCATCATCAGATGGAAAAGAATGGAATCATCATAGAATGGAATCGAATGGATTCATTGAATGGAATCAGATGGAATCATCGAATGGACTTGAATGGAATCATTGAAAGGAAACGAATGGAATGAACATCAAACGGAATCAAACGGAATTATCGAATGGAATCGAAGAGAATCATCAAATGGCCACGAATGGAATCATCTAATAAAATAGAATGGAATAATCCATGGACTCGAATGCAATCATCATCAAATGGAATCGAATGGAATCAGCGAATGGAATCAAATGGAGTAAACATTGAACGGAATCGAATGGAATCTTCATCAGATGGAAACGAATGGAATCATCATCGAATGGAATCGAATGGAATCATTGAATGGAATCGAATGGAATCATCTTCAGATGGAAATGAATGGAATCATCAAACAATGGATTCGAATGGATTCATTGAATGGAATCAGAAGGAATCATCGAATGGACTTGAATGGAATCATTGAATGGACTCGAATGGAATCATTATTGAATGGAATAGAAAGTAATCATCGAATGGTCTCGAATGGAATCATTATCAATTGGAATCGAATGGAATCACCGAATAGAATCGAATGGAACAATCATCAAATGGACTCAAATGGAATTATTCTCAAATGGAATCAAATGGAATTATCGAATGGACCGAATGGAATTATCGAATGCAATCAAATAGAATCATCGAATGGACTCGAATGGAATCATCGAATGGAATGGAATGGAATAGTCAATGAACTCGAATGGAATCATCATTGAATGGAATAGAATGGAATCATCGAGTGGAATCAAATGGAATCATCATCAAATGGAATCGAATGTAATCATCATCAAATGGAATCAAAAATAAACATCGTCAATTGGTATTGAATGGAATTGTCATCAAATGGAATTCAAAGGAATCATCATCAAATGGAACCGAATGGAATCCTCATTGAATGGAAATGAAAGGAGTCATCATCTAATGGAATCGCATGGAATCATCATCAAATGGAATCGAATGGAATCATTGAACGGAATTGAATGGAATCGTCATCGAATGAATTGAATGCAATCATCGAATGGTCTGGAATGGAATCATCTTCAAATGGAAAGGAATGGAATCATCGCATAGAATCGAATGGAATTATCATTGAATGGATTCAAATCGAATAAACATCAAACGGAATCAAACGGAATTATCGAATGGAATCGAAGAGCATCATCGAATGGCCACGAATGGAATCATCTAATGGAATGGAATGGAATTATCCATGGACACGAATGCAATCATCATCGAATAGAACCCAATGGAATCATCAAATGAACTCGAATGGAATAATCATTGAACGGGATCGAATGGAATCATCGCCGAACGGAAACGAATGGAAACATCATCGAATGGAAATGAAAGGAGTCATCATCTATTGGAATCGCATGGAATCATCATCAAATGGAATCGAATGGAATCATCATCGAATGGAATCTAATGGAATCATTGAAGGGAATTGAAAGGAATCGTCATCGAATGGATTGAATGCAATCATCGAATGGTCTCGAATGGAATAATCTCCAAATGGAATGGAAAGGAATCATCGTATAGATTCGAATGGAATTATCATCGAAAGGACTCAGATGGAATCAACATCAAACGGAATCAAACGGAGTTATCGAATGGAATCGAAGAGAATCATCGAATGGACTCGAATGGAATCATCTAATGAAATAGAATGGAATAATTGATGGACTCGTATGCAATCATCATCAAATGGAATTAAATGGAATCGTCAAATGGACTCGAATGGAATAAATATTGAACGGAATCGAATGGAATCATCATCAGATGGAAACGAATGGAATCATCATCGAATGGAATCGAATGGAATCATCAAATGGAATCAGATGGAATCATCATCAAATGGAATCGAATAGAATTATGGAATGAAATCCAATGTGATCATCATTGAATGGACTCGAATGGAACCATCATCCAATGGAAACTAATGGAATCAACATCGAATGGAATCGAATGGAAACACCATCGAATTGAAATGAATGGAATTATCATGAAATTGAAATGGATGGATTCATCACCGAATGGATTCGAATGGAATCATCGAATGAAATTGATTGAAATCATCATCAAATTGAATCGAATGGAATCATTGAATGGAATCGAAAGGAATCCTCATCAGATGGAAATGAATGGAATCATCATATAATGGAATCGAATGGATTCATTGAATGGAATCAGATGGAATCATCGAATGGACTTGAATGGAATCATTGAATGGACTCGAATGGAATCATTATTGAATGGAATAGAATGGAATCATCGAATGGTATTGAATGGAATCATTATCCAATGGAATCGAATGGAATCACCGAATAGAATCGAATGGAACAATCATCGAATGGACTCAAAAGGAATTATCCTCAACTGGAATCAAATGGAATTATCAAATGCAATCGAATGGAATTATCGAATGCAATCGAGTAGAATCATCGAATGGACTCGAATGGTATCATCGAATGGAACGGAATGGAATAGTCAATGAACTCGAATGGAATCATCATTGAATGGAATCGAATGGAATCATCGAGTGGAATCGAATGGAATCACGATTAAATGGAATCGAATGTAATCATCAAATGGAATCAAAAATAACAATCATCAATTGGTATTGAATGGAATTGTCATCAAATGGAATTCAAAGGAATCATCATCAAATGGAACCGAATGGAAACCTCATTGAATGGAAATGAAAGGAGTCATCAAATAATGGAATCGCATGGAATCATCATCAAATGGATTTGAATGGAATCATCATCAAATGGAATCTAATGGAATCATTGAAAGGAATTGAATGGAATCGTCATCGAATGAATTGAATGTAATCATCGATTGGTCTCGAATGGAATCATCATCAAATGGAAAGGAATGGAATCATCGCAAAGAATCGAATGGAATTATCATTGAATGGAGTCGAATGGAATCAACATCAAACGGAATCAAACGGAATTATCGAATGGAATCGAAGAGAATCATCGAATGGCCACGAATGGAATCATCTAATGGAATGGAATGGAATAATCCATGGTCCCGAATGCAATCATCATCGAATAGAATCGAATGGAATCATCGAATGGACTCGAATGGAATAATCATTGAACGGAATCAAATGGAATCATCGTCGAATGGAAACGAATGGAATCATCATCGAATGGAAGTGAAAGGAGTCATCATCTAATGGAATCGCATGGAATCATCATGAAATGGAATCGAATGGAATCATCATCGAATGGATTCTAATGGAATCATTGAACGGAATTGAATGGAATCGTCATCGAATGAATTTAATGCAATCATTGAATGGTCTCGAATGGAATCATCTTCAAATGGAATGGAATGGAATCATCGCATAGAATCGAATGGAATTATCATCAAATGGACTCAAATGGAATCAACATCAAACGGAATCAAACGGGATTATCAAATGCAATCGAAGAGAATCATCGAATGGACTCGAATGAAATAATCTAATGGGATGGAATGGAATAATCCATGGACTCGAATGCTCTCATCATCGAATGGAATCGAATGGAATCATCGAATGGACTCGAATGGAACAATCATTCAACGGAATCGAATGGAATCATCATTGGATGGAAACGAATGCAATCATCATCGAATGGAATTGAATGGAATCATCAAATGGAATCAGATGGAATCATCATCAAATGGAATTGAGTAGAATTATGGAATGAAATCCAATGTGATCATCATCGAATGGACTCGAATGGAATCATCATCCAATGGAAACTAATGGAATCAACATCGAATGGAATCGAATGGAAACACCATCGAATTGAAACGAATGGAATTATCATGAAATTGAAATGGATGGACTCATCATCGAATGGATTCGAAATGTAATCATCGAATGAAATTGATTGAAATCATCATCAAATTGAATCGAATGGAATCATTGAATGGAATCGAATGGAATCATCATCAGATGGAAACGAATGGAATCATCATAGAATGGAATCGAATGGATTCATTGAATGGAATCAGATGGAATCATCAAGAGGACTTGAATGCAATCACTGAATGGACTCGAATGAAATCATTATTGAATGGAATTGAATGGAATCATCGAATGGTCTCGAAAGGAATCCTTATCAAATGGAATCGAATGGAATCACCGAATAGAATCGAATGGAACAATCATCGAATGGACTCAAATGGAATTATCCTCAAATGGAATCGAATGGAATTATCGAATGCAATCGAATGGAATTATCGAATGCAATCAAATAGAATCATCGAAAGGACTCGATTGGAATCGTCGAATGGAATGGAATGGAATAGTCAATGAACTCGAATGGAATAATCATTGAATGGAATCGAATGGAATCATTGAGTGGAATCGAATGGAACCATGATCAAATGGAATCGAATATAATCATCATCAAACGGAATCAAAAATAACCATAATCAATTGGTATTGAATGGAATTGTCATCCAATGGAATTCAAAGGAATCATCATCAAATGGAACCGAATGGAATCCTCATTGAATGGAAATGAAAGGAGTCATCATCTAATGGAATCGCATGGTATCTTCATCAAATGGAATCGAATGGAATCATCATCAAATGGAATCGAATGGAATCATTGAACGGAATTGAATGGAATCGTCATAGAATGTATTGAATGCAATCATCGAATGGTCTCGAATGGAATCATCTTCAAATGGATTAGAATGGAATCATCGCATAGAATCGAATGGAATTATCATCGAATGGACTGGAATTGAATCAACATCAAACGGAATCAAACGGAATTATCGAATGGAATCGAAGAGCATCATCGAATGGACTCGAATGGAATCATCTAATGGAATGGAATGGAGTATTCCATGGACTCGAATGCAATCATCATCGAATGGAATCGAATGGAATCATCGAATGGACACGAGTGGAATAATCATTGAACGGAATCGAATGGAATCATCATCGAATGGCATCGAATGGAATCATCAAATGGAAGCAGACGGAATCATCATCAAATGGAATCGAGTAGAATTATGGAATGAAATCCAATGTCATCATCATCGAATGGACTCGAACGGAATCATCATCCAATGGAAACTAATGGAATCAACATCGAATGGAATCGAATGGAAACACCATCGAATTGAAAGGAATGGAATTATCATGAATTTGAAATGGATGGACTCATCATCGAAAGGATTCGAATGGAATCATCGAATGAAATTGATTGAAATCATCATCAAATGGAATCGAATGGAATCATTGAATGGAATCGAATGGAATCATCATCAGATGGAAATGAATGGAATCATCATAGAATGGAATCGAATGGATTCATTGAATGGAATCAGATGGAATCATTGAATGGACTTGAATGGAAACATTGAATGGACTCGAATGCAATCTTTATTGAATGGAATTGAATGGAATCATGGAATGGTCTCTAATGGAATCATCATCAAATGGAATCGAATGGAATCACCGAATAGAATCGAATGGAAGAATCATTGAATGGACTCAAATGGAATTATCCTCAAATGGAATCGAATGGAAATATCGAATGCAATCGAATGGAATTATCAAATGCAATCGAATAGAATCATCTAATGGACTCGAATGGAATCATAGAATGGAATGGAATGGAATAGTCAATGAACTCGAATGGAATCATCATTGAATGGAATCGAATGGAATCATCATCAAATGGAATCTAATGGAATCATTGAATGGAATTGAATGGAATCGTCATCGAATGAATTGAATGCAATCATCGAATGGTCTCGAATGGAATCATCATCAAATGGAAAGGAATGAAATCATCGCATAGAATCGAATGGAATTATCATTGAATGGACTCGAATGGAATCAACATCAAACGGAGTCAAACGGAATTATCGAATGGAATCGAAGAGAATCATCAAATGGCCACGAATGGAATCATCTAATGGAATGGAATGGAATAATCCATGGACCCGAATGCAATCATCATCGAATAGAATCGAATGGAATCATCGAATGGACTCGAATGGAATAATCATTGAACGGAATCAAATGGAATCATCGTCGAATGGAAACGAATGGAATCATCATCGAGTGGAAATGAAAGGAGTCATCATCTAATGGAATCGTATGGAATCATCATCAAATGAAACCTAATGGAATCTTTGAACGGAATTGAATGGAATCGTCATCGAATGAATTGAATGCAATCACTGAATGGTCTCGAATTTAATCATCTTCAAATGGAATGGAATGGAATCATCGCATAGAATCGAATGGAATTATCATCGAATGGACTAAAATGGAATCAACATCAAACGGAATCAAACTGAATTATTGAATGGAATCGAAGATAATCATCGAATGGACTCGAATGGAATCATCTAATGGAATGGAATGGAATAATCCATGGACTCGAATGCAATCATCTTCGAATGGAATCGAATGGAATCATCGAATGGACTCGAAGGGAATAATCATTGAAAGGAATCGAATGGAATCATCATTGGATGGAAACGAATGGAATCGTCATTGAATGGAATCGAATGGAATCATCAAATGGAATCAGATGGAATCATCATCAAATGGAATCGGTTAGAATTATGGAATGAAATCCAATGTGATGATCATCGAATGGACTCGAATGGAATCATGATCCAATGGAAACTAAAGGAATCAACATCGAATGCAATCAAATGGAAACACCATCGAATTGAAAAGAATGGAATTATCATGAAATTGAAATGGATGGACTCATCATCGAATGGATTCAAATGGTGTCATCGAATGAAATTCATTGCAATCATCATCAAATGGAATCGAATGGAATCATTGAAATGAATCAATTGGAATCATCATCAGATGGAAATGAATGGAATCATCATAGAATGGAATCGAATGGAATCATCAAATGGAATCAGATGGAATCATCATGAAATGGAATAGAATAGAATTATGGAATGAAATCCAATGTGATCATGATCGAATGGACTCAAATGGAATCATCATCCAATGGAAACTAATGGAATTAACATCGAATGGAATCGAATGGAAACACCATCGAATTGAAACGAATGGAATTATGAAATTGAAATGGATGGACTCATCATCAAATGGATTCGAATGGAATCATCAAATGAAATTGATTGAAATCATCATCAAATGGAATCGAATGGAATCATTGAATGGAATTGAATGGAATTATCATCAGATAGAAATGAATGGAACCATCATAGAATGGAATCGAATGGATTCATTGAATGGAATCAGATGGAATCAACAAATGGACTTGAATGGAATCATTGAATGGACTCGAATGGAATCATTATTGAATGGAATTGAATGGAATCATCGCATGGTCTCGAATGGAATCATTATCAAATAGAATCGAATGGAATCACCGAATAGAATCGAATGGAACAATCATCGAATGGACTCAAATGGAATTATCCTCAAATGGAATCAAATGGAATTATCAAATGCAATCGAATGGAATTATCGAATGCAATCGAATAGAATCATCGAATGGACTCAAATGGAATCATCGAATGGAATGGAATGGAATAGTCAATGAACTCGAATGGAATCATCATTGAATGGAATCGAATGGAATCATCGAGTGGAATCAAATGGAATCATGATCAAATGGAATCGAATGTAATCATCATCAAATGGAATCAAAAATAACCATAATCAATTGGTATTGAATGGAATTGTCATCAAATGGAATTCAATGGAATCATCATCATATGGAACCGAATGGAATCCTAATTGAATGGAAATGAAAGGAGTCATCATCTAATGGAATCGCATGGAATCATCACCAATGGAATCGAATGGAATCATCATTAAATGGAATCTAATAGAATCATTGAACGGAATTGAATGGAATCGTCATCGAATGAATTGAATGCAATCATCGAATGGTCTCGAATGGAATCACCTTCAAATGGAAAGGAATGGAATCATCGCATAGAATCGAATGGAATTATCATTGAATGGACTCAAATGGAATCAACGTCAAACGGAATCAAATGGAATTATCAAATGCAATCGAAGAGAATCATCGAATGGACTCGAATGGAACCATCTAATGGAATGGAATGGAATAATCCATGGACTCGAATGCAATCATCATCAAATGGAATCGAATGGAATCATCGAATGGACTCAAATGGAATAATCATTGAACGGAATCAAATGGAATCATCATCGGATGGAAACGAATGGAATCATCATCTAATGGAATCAAATGGAATCATCAAATGGAATCAGATGGAATCATCATCAAATGGAATCGAGTAGAATTATGGAATGAAATCCAATGTGATCATCATCGAATGGACTCGAATGGAATCATCATCCAAAGGAAGCTAATGGAATCAACATCGAATGGAATCGAATGGAAACACCATCAAATTGAAACGAATGGAATTATCATGAAATTGAAATGGATGGACTCATCATCGAATGGATTCGAATCGAACCATCGAATGAAATTGATTGAAATCATGATCAAATGGAATCCAATGGAATCATTGAATGGAATCGAGTGGAATCATCATCAGATGGAAATAAATGGAATCATCATAGAATGGAATCGAATGTATTCATTGTATGGAATCAGATGGAATCATCGAATGGACTTGAATGGAATCGTTGAATGGACTCAAATGGAATCATTATTGAATGGAATTGAATGGAATCATTGAATGGTCTTGAATGGAATCATTATCAAATGGAATCGAATGGAATCACCGAATAGAATCGAATGGAACAACTTGGGAAGGAGTATGTGTTGAGGAATTTATCCATTCCTTCTAGATTTTCTGGTTTATTTGCACAGAGGTGTTTTTAGTATTCTCTGATGGTAGTTTGTATTTCTGTGGGATTGGTGGTGATATCCCCTTTATCATTTTTAATTGCATCTATTTGATTCTTCTCTCTTTTCTTCTGTGTTGTTCTTGCTTGATTGTGCCTCTCCTCTTCCAAAGGAATGCAGCTTCACACCAGCAATGGAACAAAGCTAGATGGAGAATGACTTTGATGAGTGGAGGGAAGAAGTGTTCCGATGATCAAACTTATCCGAGCTAAAGGAGGAAGTTCGCACACATGGCAAAGAAGTTAAAAACCTTGACAAAAAATTAGATGAATGGC
Organism: Homo sapiens; assembly: GCF_000001405.40. NCBI lineage: Eukaryota > Metazoa > Chordata > Mammalia > Primates > Hominidae > Homo > Homo sapiens. The sequence goes on along the minus strand of NC_000010.11, from coordinate 41,842,536 downwards.
TAACTAGAATAATGAATGCAGAGAATTCCTTAAAGGACCTGATGCAGCTGAAAACCATGACACGAGAACTACATGATGAATTCACAAACCTCAGTAACCGGTTTGATCATAGAGCAATTTCAAAACACTCTGTTTGTAAAGTCTGCAAGTGGATATTTGGACCTCTTTGAGGCCTTCGATGGAAAGAGGATTTTTTCATATAATGCTAGACAGAAGATTTCTCAGTAACTTCTTTGTGTTGTGTTTAATTCAAGTCTCAGGGTTGAACCTTCCTTTAGACACAGCAGATTTGAAACTCTCTTTTTGTGGAATTTTCAGGTGGAGATTTCAAGTGCATTGGGGCAATGGAAGAAAAGGAAATATCTTCGTATAAAAACTAGAAAGAAGCATTCTCAGAAACTACTTTGTGATGTGTGCATTCATCTCACAGAGTTTATCCTTTTTTTTCATAGAGCAGTTTGGAAACGCTCTGTTTGTAAAGTCTGCAAGTGGATATTTGGACCTCTTTGAGCCCTTCGTTGGAAACGGGATTTCTTCATATAATGCTAGACAGAAGAATTGTCAGTAACTTCTTTGGGTTGAGTGTATTCAACTCACAGAGTTCTACCTTCCTTTAGACAGAGTAGAATTGAAACAGGCTTTTTGTGGAATTTGCAAGTGTAGATTTCAAGATATTTGAGGCCAATGGTAGAAAAGGAAATATCTTCCTATAAAAACTAGACAGAATCATTCTCAGAAACTACTTTGTGATGTGTATGTTCAACTCGCAGAGTTTAACCTGTCTTTTCATAGAGCAGTTTGGAAACACTCTGTTTGTAAAGTCTGCAAGCGGATATTTTGACCTCTTTGAGGCCTTCGTTGGAAATGGGATTTCTTCATATAATGCTAGACAGAAGAATTCTCAGTAACTGCTTTGCGTTTTGTGTATTCAACTCACAGAGTTGAACCTTCCTTTAGACAGAGCAGATTTGAAACACTCTTTTTGTGGAATTTGCAAGTGGAGATTTCAAGAGATTTGAGACCAATGGTAGAAAGGAAATATCTTCGTATAAAAACTAGACAGAATCATTCTCAGAAACTACTTTGTGATGTGTGTGTTCAACTCACAGAGTTTAACATTTCTGTTCATAGAGCAGTTTGGAAACACTCTGTTTGTTAAGTCTGCAAGTGGATATTTGGACCTCTTTGAGGCCTTCGTTGGAAATGGGATTTCTTCATATAATGCTAGACAGAAGAATTCTTAGTAACTTCTTTGGGTTGGCTGTATTCAACTCACAGAGTTGAACCTTCGTTTAGACAGAGCAGATTTGAAACACTCTTTTTGTGGAATTTGCAAGTGGAGATTTCAAGAGTTTTCAGGCCGATGGTAGAAAAGGAAATTTCTTCGTATAAAAACTAGACAGAATCATTCTCAGAAACTTCTTTGTGATGTGTACATTCAACTCGCAGAGTTTAACCATCCTTTTCATAGAGCAGTTTGGAAAATCTCTGTTTGTAAAGTCTGCAAGTGGATATTTGGACCTCCTTCAGGGCTTCGTTGGAACGGGGTTTCTTCATATAATGCTAGACAGAAGAATTCTCAGTTACTTCTTTGTGTTGTGTGTATTCAACTCACAGAGTTGAACCTTCCTTTAGACAGACCAGATTTGAAACACTCTTTTTGTGGAATTTTCAAGTGGAGATTTCAATCGCTTTGAGGCCAATTGTAGGAAAGGAAATATCTTCTTATAAAAACTAGACAAAATCATTCTCAGAAACTACTTTGTGATGTGTGTGTTCAACTCACAGAGTTTAACCTTTCTTTTCATAGAGCAGTTTGGAAACCCTCTGTTTGTAAAGTCTGCAAGTGGATACTTTGACCTCTTTGAGGCCTTCATTGGAAACGGGATTTTTCTTATAAAACTAGACAGAAGAATTCTGAGAAACTTCTTTGTGATGTGTGCATTCAACTCACAGGGTTGAACCTTACTTTCCAAAGAGCAGTTCTCAGACACTCTTTTTGTAGAACTTCCAAGTGCATACTTAGAGTGCTTTGAAGCCTACGGTAGACAACTTAATATCTTCATGTAAAAACTAGACAGAACCTTTCTCAGAAAGCACGTTGCGATCTCTGCATTCAACTCACAGAGTTTCACCTTTCTTTCATTAGAGCACTTATGGAACACTCTCTTTGTAGAATTTGCCAGGGTGTATTTAGAGGGCTTTGAGGCCTATGGTAGAAAAGGAAATATCTTACATAAATACTAGACAGAAGCGTTCTCAGAAACTAAGTTGTGATGTTTGCATTCAACTCACAGAGTTCAACATTCCTTTTGATAGAGCGGTTTTGAAATACTCTTTGCAGAATCTGCAAGTGGATATTTGGACCTCTTTGAGACCTTCGTTGGAACGGGATTTCTTCATATAGTGGTAGACAGACGAATTCTCAGTAACTTCTTTGCGTTGTGTGTATTCAACTCACAGAGTTGAACCTTCCTTTAGACAGAGAAGATTTGAAACACTCTTTTTTTGGAAATTGCAAGTGGAGATTTCAGGCGCTTTGAGGCCAATGGTAGAAAAGGAAATATCTTCGTATAAAAACTAGACAGAATCATTCTCAGAAACTACTTTGTGATGTGTGCATTCAACTCACAGAGTTTAACCTTACTTTTCATAGAGCAGTTTGGAAACACTCTTTTTGCAGAATCTGCAAGTGGATATTTGGACCTCTTTGAGGCCTTCGTTGGAAACGGGATTTCTTCACATAATGTTAGACAGAAGAATTCTCAGTAACTTCTTTGTGTTGTGTGTATTCAACTCACAGAGTTGAACCTTCCTTTAGACAGAGCAGATTTGAGACACTCTTTGTGGAATTTGCAAGTGGAGATTGAAAGCGCTTTGAGGCCAAAGGAAGAAAAGGAAATATCTTCGTATAAAAACTAGACAGAATCATTCTCAGAAACTACTTTGTGATGTGTGCGTTCAACTCACAGAGTTTAAGCTTTCTTTTCATAGAGCAGTTTGGAAACACTCTGTTTGTAAAGTCTGCAAGTGGATATTTGGACCTCTTTGAGGCCTTCGCTGGAAACGGGATTTCTTCATATCAAACTAGACAGAAGAATTCTGAGAAACTTCTTTGTGATGTGTGCATTGAACTCACAGTTTTGAACCCTCCTTTCGTTACAGCTGTTTTGAAACACTCTTTTTGTTGAATTTCCAAGTGCATATTTGGACTGCTTTGAAGCCTATTGTAGAGAACGAATTATCTTCATATAAAAACTAGACAGAATCATTCTCAGAAACCACTTTGTGATGTGTGTGTTCACTTCACAGAGTTTAACCTTTCTTTTGATAGAGCAGTTTTGAAACCCTCTTTTTGTAGAATCTACAAGTGGATATTTGGACCTCTTTGAAGCCTTCATTGGAAACGGGATTCTTCATATAAAACTAGACAGAAGAATTCTTAGAAACTTCTTTGTGGTGTGTGTATTCAACTCACAGTGTTGAACCTTACTTTGGATAGAGAAGTTTTGAAACACTCTTTTTGTAGAATTTCGAAGTTAATGTTGTGAGAACTTTTATGCCTATATTAGAAAAGGAAATATCTTCAAATGAAAACTAGACAGAATCATTCTCAGAACCTATTTTGTGATGTGTGCCTTCAACTCACAGAGTTTAACGTTTCTTTTGAAAGAGCTGTTTTGAAACACTCTTTTAGTAAAGTAAGCAAGTGGATATATGGAACTCTTTAAGGCCTTCGTTGGAAACGAGAATTCTTCTTATAAATCTAGACAGAAGAATTCTGAGAAACTTCTTTGTGATTTGTGCATTCAACTCACAGTGTTTAACCTTTCTTTTGATAGAGCAGTTTTGAAACACTGGGTATAATTTGCAAGTGGATATGTGAAGCTCTTTGAGGCCTACGATATAAAAAGAAATATCTTCATACAAAAACTAGACAGATTCATTCTTAGAAACTTCTTTGTGATGTGGGGGTTCAACTCACAGAATTTAAACTTTCTTTTGATAGAGCAGTTTTGAAACACTCTGTATGAAAATTCTGCAAGCGGATATTTCGACCTCTTTGAGGCCTTCGTTGGAAACGGGAATTCTTCATATAAAACAAGACCGAAGAATTCTGAGAAACTTCTTTGTGATGTGTGCATTCAAGTCACAGAGTTGAACCTTACTTTTGAAAGAGCAGTTTTCAAACACTCTTTTTGTAGTACTTCCAAGTGCATACTTAAAGTGCTTTGAAGCCTACGGGAGACAATGAAATATCTTCATGTAAAAACTAGACAGGATCATTCTCAGAAACCACGTTGTGATCTGTGCGTTCAACTCACAGAGTTTAACCTTTCTTTCCATAGAGCAGTTATGAAACACTCTCTTTGTAGTATTTGCAATGGTGTATTTAGAGGGCTTAGTGGCCTATGGTAGAAAAGGAAATATCTTACCATAAAAACTAGACAGAAGCATTCTCAGTAACTACTTTGTGATGTTTGCATTCAACTCACATAATTCAACTTTCCTTTTGATAGAACATTTTTGAAACCCTCTTTTTGCGGAATCTGCAAGTGGATATTTGAACCTCTTTGAGGCCATCGATGGAAACGGGATTTCTTCATATAATGCTAGACAGAAGAATTCTCAGTAACTTCTTTGTGTTGAGTGTATTCAACTCACAGAGTTGAACCTCCCTTTAGATAGAGCAGATTTGAAACACTCTTTTTGTAGAATTTGCAAGTGGAGATTTAAAACACTTTGTGGCCAATGGTAGAAAAAGAAATATCTTTGTATAAAAACTAGAAAGAATGATTCTCAGAAATTATTTTGTGATGTCTCCGTTCAACTCACAGAGTTTAACCTTTCTTTTGGTAGAGAAGTTTTGAAACACTTTGTTTGTAACGTCTGCAAGTGGATATTTGGACCTCTTTGAGGCCTTCATTGGAAACGATATTTCTTCATATAAAAATAGACCGAAGAATTCTGAGAAACTTCTTTGTGGTGTGCATTGAACTCACAGTTTTGAACCCTCCTTTCTTTAGAGCTGTTTTGAAACGCTGTTTTTGTAGAATTTCGAAGTGCATATTTAGTCTGCTTTGAATCCTATTGCAGAAAAGGAATTATCTTCATAAAAAAATTGACAGAATCATTCTCAGAAACCACTATGTGATGTGTGTGTTCACCTCACAGAGTTTATCCTTTCTTTTGATAGAGCAGTTTTGAAACCCTCTTTTTGTAGAATCTGCAAGTGGATATTTGGACCTCATTGATGCCTTCATTAGAAACGGGTTTCTTCATACAAAACTAGATAGAGGAATTCTCAGAATCTTCTTTGTGATGTGTGTATTCAACTCACAGTGTTGAACCTTACTTTCGATAGAGGAGTTTTGAAACACTCTTTTTGTAGAATTTCCAAGTTAACATTCTGAGAACTTTTAGGCTTATATGAGGAAAGGAATATCTTCATGTAAAAACTACAAAGAATCATTCTCAGAATCTATTTTGTGATGTGTGCATTCAACTCACATAGTTTAACCTTTATTTTGAAAGAGGTGTTTAGAAACACTCTGTTTGTAAAGTAAGCAAGTGGATATTTGGACCTCTTTGAGGCCTTCATTGGAAATGGGATTTCTTCTTATAAACGTAGACAGAAGATTTCTGAGAAACTTCTTTTGAGGTGGAGATTCATCTCCCAGAGTTGAAACTTCCTTTGGCAGAGCAGATTTGAAACACACTTTTTGTAGAATTTCAAAGTAAATATTGTGAGAACTTTCAGGCCTATATTATGAAAGGAAATATCTCATATAAAAACTAGATAGAATAATTCTGAGAATCAATTTTGTGATGTGTGTGTAAAACTCACAGAGTTTAACATTTCTTTTGTAAGAGCTGTTTTGAAACACTCTGTAAAGTAAACCTGTGGATATTTGGACCTCTTTGAGGTCTTCTTTGGAAACGGGATTTCTTCTTATAAAACTGGACAGAAGAATTCTGAGAAAATTCTTTGTGATGTGTGCATTCAACTCACTGAGTTGAACCATCCTTTCGATAGGGCAGTTTTGAAACACACTTTTTGCATAATTTCCAAGGGCATATTTAGAGTGCTTTGAAGCCTATTGTAAAAAAAGGAATATCTTCATATAAAAAGTAGACAAAATCATTCTCAGAAACAACTTTGTGTTGTGTGTGTTCTACTCACAGAGTTTAACATTTCTTTTGATAGAGCAGTTTTGAAACACTCCTTTTGTAGAATTTGCAAGTGGATTTATAAAGCACTTTGAGGCCTATGTTAGAAAAGTAAACATTTTCATAAAAAACCAGACAGATTCATTCTCAGAAACTACTTTGGGATGTTTTCGTTCAACTCACAGTGTTCAACATTGTTTTTGATACAGCTGTTTTGAAACACTTATTTTGTAGAAGCTGCAAGTGGATATTTGGACGTCTTTGAGGCCTTCATTTGAAAAGGGAATTCTTCATATAAAACAAGACAGAAGAATTCTGAGAAACCCCTTTTGGATGTGTGCATTCAACTCACAATGTTGAACCGTACTTTCAAAAGAGCAGTTTTGAAACACTCCTTTGTAGAACTTCCAAGTGCATACTTAGAGTGCTTTGAAGCCTATGGCAGAAAACGGAATATCGTCATATAAAAACTAGACAGAATCATTCTCAGAAACCGCGTTGTGATGCGTGCGTTCAACTCACAGAGTTTAACCTTTCTTTTGATAGAGCAGTTATGAAACACTCTTTTTGTAGAATTTGCAAGGGTGTATTTAGAGGGCTTTGTGGCCTATTGTGGAAAAGGAAATAGCTTACCATGAAAACTAGACAGAAGCATTCTCAGAAACTAATTTGTGATGTTTGCATTCAACTCACAGAGTTCAACATTCCTTTTGATAGAGCAGTTTTGAAACACTCTTTTTGTAGAATCTGCAAGTGGATATTTGGACCTCTTTGAGGCCTTCATTGGAAATGAGATTTGTTCATATAAAACTAGACAGAAAAATTCTCAGTAACTTGTTTGTGTTGTGTGTATTCAACTCACAGAGTTGAAGCTTCATTTAGATAGAGAAGATTTTAAACACTCTTTTTGTTGAATTTGCAAGTTGAGATTTAAAGCACTTTGAGGCCAGTGTTAGAAAAGGAAATATCTTCGTATAAAAACTAGACAGAATTATTCTCATAAATTACTTTGTGATGTGTGCATTCATCTCACAGAGTTTAGCCTTTCTTTTGATAGAGCAGTTTTGAAACACTGTGTGTGTAAAGTCTGCAAGTGGATATTTGGACTTCTTTGAGGCCTTCATTGGAAACGGGGTTTCTTCATATAAAACTAGACAGAAGAATTCTGAGAAATTTCTCTGTGATTTGTGCATTGAACTCACAATTTTCAACCCTCCTTTCTTTAGAGCTGTTGTGAAACACTCTTTGTGTAGAATTTACAAGTGCATAGACTGCTTTGAAGCCTATGGTAGAAAATGAATTATCTTCTTATAAAAACGAGACAGAATCATTCTAAGAAACCACTTTGTGTTGTGTGTGTTCATCTCACAGAGTTTAAACTTTCTTTTGATAGAGTGGTTTTGAAACCCTCTTTTTGTAGAATCTGCAAGTGGATATTTGGACCTCTTTGAGGCCTTCGTTGGAAACGGGTTTCTTCTTATAAAACTAGACAGAAGAATTCTCAGAAACTTCTTTGGATTTGTGTATTCAACTCAAAGTGTTGAACCTTTCTTTCGATAGAGCAGTTTTGAAACACTCTTTTTGTAGAATTTCCAAGTTAATATTTTGAGAACTTTTAGGCCTATATGTGAAAAGAAATATCTTCATATAAAAACTAGATAGAATCATTCTCAGAATCTATTTTGTGATGTGTGTGTTCAACTCACAGAGTTTAACCTTTCTTGTGAAAGAGCTGTTTTGAAACACTCTGTTTGTAAAGTAAGCAAATGGATATTTGGATCTCTTTCAGGACTTCGTTGGAAATGGGAATTCTTCATATAAAACAAGACAGAATTCTGAGAAACTTCTTTGTGATGTGTGCATTCCACTCACAGAGTTGAACCTTCCTTTAGGGAGAGCAGATTTGAAACACTCCTTTTGTAGAATTTGCAAGTGGATATTTAAAGCGCTTTGAGGCCTATGGTAGAAAAGGAAATATCTTCATATAAAAACTAGACAGATTCACTCTCAGAAACTACTTTGTGATGTGTGCGTTCAACTCACAGAATTTAACCTTTCTTTTGATAGAGCAGTTTTGAAACTCTCTGTTTGTAAAGTCTGTAAGTGGGCAGTTTGACCTCTTTGAGGCCTTCATTGGAAACGGGAATTCTTCCTACAAAACAGGACAGAAGAATTTTGAGAATCTTCTTTGTGATGGGTTCATTGAACTCAGAGAGTTGATCCTTATTTTCAAAAGAGCAGTTTTCAAAGACTCTTTTTGTAGAACTTCCAAGTGCATACTTACAGTGCTTTGAAGCCTGAGGTAGAAAACGAAATATGTTCGTATAAAAACTAGACAGAATCACTCTCAGAAACCATGTTGTGATGTGTGCGTTCAACTCACAGAGTTTAACCTTTCTTTTGATAGAGCAGTTATGAAACACTCTTTTCGTAGAATTTGCACGGGTGTAATTAGAGGGCTTTGGGGCCTATGCTAGAAAAGGAAATATCTTACCATAAAAACTAAACAGAAGCATTCTCTGATACTAATTTGTGATGTTTGCATTCAACCCACAGAGTTCAACATTCCTTTTGATAGAGCAGTTTTGAAACATTGTTTTTGTAGAATCTGCAAGTGGATATTTGGACCTCTTTGAGGCCTTCATAGAAACGGGATTTAGTCATTTAAAACTAGACAGAAAAATTCTCAGTAAATTCTTTGTGTTGAGAGTATTCAACTCACAGACTTGAACCTTCCTTTAGATAGAGCAGATTTGAAACACTCTTTTTGTAGAATTTGCAAGTGGAGAGTCAAAGCGCTTTTAGTCCAATGGTAGAAAAGGAAATATCTTCGTATAAAATCTAGACAGAATCAATCTCAGAAACTGCTTTGTGATGCGTGCATTCAACTCACAGAGTTTAACCTTTCTTTTGATAGAGCAGTTTGGAAACACTCTGTTTGTAAAGTCTGCAAGTGGATATTTTGTCGTCATTGAGGCCTTCATTGGAAATGGGATTTCTTCATATAAAACTAGACAGAAAAATTCTCAGTAACTACTTTGTGTTGAGTGTATTCAACTCAGAGAGTTGAACCTTCATTTAGATAGAGCAGATTTGAAACACTCTTTTAGTAGGATTTACAAGTGGAGATTTAAAGCACTTTGAGGCCAATGGTAGAAAAGGAAATATCTTCGTATAAAAACCAGTCAGAATCATTCTCAGAAACTTATTTGTGTTGTGTGTATTCAACTCAAAGAGTTGAACCTTCCTTTAGATAGAGCTGATTTGAAAATCTCATTTTTTTGAATTTGCATGTGGAGATTTAAAGCACTTTGAGACCAATGGTAGAAAACGTCATATCTTCGTATAAATACGAAATGTCTTCGTATAAAAACTAGACAGAAGTAGTCTCAGAAACTACTCTATCAAAAGGTCAACATTCCTCTTGATAGAGCTGTTTTGAAACACTTTTTTTCTAGAATCTGTAAATGGATATCTGGAACTATTGAGGTCTTTTTTGGAAATGGGACTTCTTCATATAAAGCTAGACAGAAGAATTCTCAGTAGCTTCTTTGTGTTGAGTGTATTGAACTCACAGAGTTGAACTTTCCTTTAGATAGAGAAGATTTGAAACACTCTTTTTCTAGAATTTGCAAGTGTAGATTTCAAGCGCTTTGAGACCTATGTCAGAAAAGGGAATATCTTTGTATAAAAACTAGACAGAATCATTCTCAGAAACTAATTTGTGCTGTGTGTGTTCAACTCACGGAGTTTAACCTTTCTTTTGATATAGCCGCTTTGAAACCCTGTTTGTAAAGTCTGCAAGTGGATATATGGACCTCTTTGAGGACTTCGTTGGAAATGGGATTTCTTCATATAAAACTAGAAAGAAGAATTCTGAGAAACTTCTTTCTGGTGTGTGCATTGAACTCACAGTGTTGAACCTTCCTTTCAATAGAACAGTTTTGACACACACTTTTTGTAGAATTTCCAAGTGCATATTTGGAATGCTGTGAAGCCTATGGTAGAAAATGAAATATCTTCATATAAAAACTAGACAGAGTCATTCTCAGAAACCGCTTTGTGATGTGTGTTTTCAACTCACAGATTTTAACCTTTCTTTTGATGTAGCAGTTTTGAAACACTCTCCTTGTAGAATTTGCAAGTGGACATTTAAAGTGGGACAATGGTAGAAAAGGGTATATCTTCGTATAAAAACTAGACAGAATCATTCTCAGAAACTACTTTGTGATGTGTGAGTTCAACTCACAGAGTTTTACCTTTCTTTTGATAGTGCAGATATGAAACACTCTTTTTGTAGAATTTGCAAATGTATATTTAGAGGGCTTTGTGGCCTATTGTAGAAAATGAAATATCTTACCCTAAAAACTAGACAGAAGCATTCTCAGAAACTAATTTGTGATGTTTGCATTCAACTCACAGAGTTCAACATTCCTTTTGATAGAGCGGTTTTGAAACACTCTTTTTGCAGAATCTGCAAGTGGATATTTGGACCTCTTTGAGGCCTTCTTTGGAAACGGGATTTGTTCCTATACAGCTAGATAGAAGAATTCTCAGTAGCTTCTTTTTGTTGAGTGTATTCAACTCACCGAGTTGATCCTTCCTTTAGATAGAGCTGTTTTGAAACACTCTTTTTGTAGAATTTGCAAGTGGATATTTAAAGCGCTTTGTGGCCAATGGCAGAAAAGGAAATATCTTGGTATAAAAACTAGACACAATCATTCTCGGAAACTACTTTGTGATGTGTGAGTTCAACTCACAGAATTTAACCTTTCTTTTGATAGAGGAGCTTTGAAACACTCTGTTTGTAAAGTCTGCAAGTGGATATTTGGACCTCTTTGAGACCTTCGTTGGAAATGGGATTTCTTCATATAAAACTAGACTTAAGATTTCTGAGAATCTTCTCTGTGATGTGTGCATTGAACACACAGTTTTGAATCCTCCTTTCGTTAGAGCTGTTTTGAAACTCTTTTTGTGTAATTTCGAAGTGCATATTTAGACTGCTTTGAAGCCTCTGCTAGAAAACGAATTATCTTCATAGAAAAACTGGACAGAATCATTCTCAGAAACCACTTTGTGATGTGTGTGTTCACCTCACAGAGTTTAAGCTTTCTTTTGATAGAGCAATTTTGTAACCCTCTTTTTGTAGAATCTGCAAGTGGATATTTGGACCTCTTTGAGGCCTCTGTTGGAAACAGGTTTCTTCATATATAAGTAGACAGAAGAATTCTCAGAAACTTCTTTGTGATGTGTGCATTCTACTCACAGCGTTGAACCTTCCTTTCAATAGAGCAGTTTTGAAACACTCTTTTTGTAGAATTTGCAAGTCGAGACTTAAAGCGCTTTGTGGCCAATGGTAGAAAAGGAAATATCTTTGTATAAAAACTAGACAGAATCATTCTCAGAAACTACTTTGTGATGTGTGCGTTCAACTCACAGAGTTTAACCTTTCTTTTGATAGAGTAGTTATGAAATACTCTGTTTGTAAAGTCTGCAAGTGGATATTTGGACCTCTTTGAGGCCTTCGTTGGAAACGGGATTTCTTCATATAAAACTAGACAGAAGAATTCAGAGAAACTTCTTTGTGATGTGTGCATTGAACTCACAGTTTTGAACACTCCTTTCATTAGAGCTGTTTTGAAACACTCTTTTTGTACAATTTCCAAGTGCATATTTAGACTGCTTTGAAGCCTATTGTAGGAAACAAATTATCTTCATATAAGACGAGACAGAATCATTCTTAGAAAGCACTTCGTGATATGTGTTCACCTCACTGAGTTTAACCTTTCTTTTGATAGAGCAGTTTTGAAACCCTCTTTTTGTAGAATCTGCAAGTGGATATTTGGACCTCTTTGAGGCCTTCTTTGGAAACGGGATTTCTTCTTATAAAACTAGACAGAAGAATTCTGAGAAACTTCTTTGTGATGTGTGCATTCACCTCATGGATTTGAACCTTACTTTTGATAGAGCAGTTTTGAAGCACTCTTTTTGTAGAATTTTCAAGAGCATATTTAGAGTGCTTTGAAGCCTATTGTAGAAAATGAAATATCTTCATATAAAACTAGATAGAATCATTCTGAGAAACCACTTTGTGATTTGTGTGTTCAACTCACAGAGTTGAACCTTTCTTTTCATTGAGCAGTTTGGAAACAGTCTTTTTGTAGTATCAGCAAATGGATATTTGGGGTGCATTGGGACTTATGTTGGAAATCAAATATCTTCACATAAAAACTAGACAGAAGCATTCTGAGAAACTTCTTTGTGATGTGTTTATTCATCTCACAGGGTTGAAACTTTCTTTGCACTTAGCAGTTTGGAAACAGACTTTTTATAATGTCTCCAAATGTATATTTGGAACTCCTTGAGGCCAATAGTGGAAAAGGAAATATCTTCACATAAAAACTAGACAGAAGCTCTCTGAGAAGCTTCTTTGTGATGTGTGCATTCATCTCACAGAGTTGAACCTTTCTTTCGATTGAGCACTTTTGAAGCACGTTTTCTGTAGAATCTGCAAGTGGATATTTGGAGTGCTTTGTGGCCTATAGTCAAAAAGCAAATATCTTCACATAAAAACTAGACAGAAACATTCTGAGAAACTTCTTTTTTATGTGTGCACTTATCCCACATAGTTGAATGTTTCTTTTGATTGAGCTGTTTTGAAACACTCTTTTTGCAGAATATTCAATTGGATAAGTAGAGCGCTTTGAGGCTTATGGTGGAAAAGGGTATATCTTCACATATAAACTAGACAGGAGCATTCTGAGAAACTGATTTGTGAAGTGAGCAATCAAATCACAGAGTTGAACCTTTCTTTTGATTGAGCAGTTTTAAAACACTCTTTTTGTAGAAGCTGCCAGTGGATATTTGGAGCACTTTGAGGTCTATGGTAGAAAAGAAAATATCTTCACATAAAAATGCAGCCGAAGGATTCTGAGAAACCTCTTTGTGATGTGTGCATTCAACTCACACGGTTGAAAGTTTCTTTTGATTGAGCAATTTGGAAACAGTCTTTCTGTAGTATATGCAAATGGATATTTGCAGTGCTTTGAGGCCTATGGTGGAAAAGGGAATATTTTCCCATCAAAACTAGACAGAAGCTTTCTGATAAACTTCTTTGTGATGTGTGCATTTCTCTCACAGAGTTGAAACTTTCTTTTGATTGTGCAGTTTTGAAACATTCTTTTTGTAGAATATCTAAGTGGATATTTGGAGGGTTTTCCAGCCTTGATTGAGCAGTTTTGTAGCACTCTTTTTGTAGAATCTGCAAGTGGATATTTGGACTGCTTTGAGGCCTATGGTGGAAAGGGTAATATCTTCACCTAAAAACTAGACAGAAGCATTCTGAGAAACTACTTTCTGATGTGTGCATTCAACTCACAGAGTTGAACCTTTCTTTTGATTGAGCAGTTTGGAAACAGTCGTTCTGTAGTATCTGCCAATGGTTATTTGGAGTGCTTTGTGGCCTATGGTGGAAAAGGAAATGTCTTCACATTAAAACTAGATAGAATTATTCTGAGAAATATCTTTGTGATGTGTGCATTCATCTCACAGAGATGAACTTTTCTTTTTATTGAGCAGTTTTGAAACACACTTTTTGTAGAATCTTCAAGTGGATATTTGGAGTGCTTTGAGGCCTATTGTGGAAATGGAAATATCTTCACATAAAAACTAGACAGAAGTATTCTGGGAAACTTCTTTGTGATGTGTGCATTCATCTCACAGTGTTGAACCTTTCTTTTGATTGAGTAGTTTTGAGGCATTCTTTTTGTAGAATCTGCATGTGGATATTTGGTGTGCTTTGCGGCCTATAATGGAAAAGGAATTATCTCCTCATAAAATCTAGACAGAATCATTCTGAGAAACTTCTTTGTGATATGTGCATTCATCTCACAGTGTTGAAACTTTCTTTTGACTGAGCAGTTTTGAAACACTCTTTTTGTAGTATCTGCAAGTGGTATTTGGAGTACTTTGAGGCCTATGGTGAAACTGGAAATATTTTCACCTGAAAACTAAACAAAAGCATTCTGAGAAACATCTTTGTGATGTGTGCAATTATCTCAAAGGGTTGAACCTTTCCTTTGGCTGAGCAGTTTGGAAACAGTCTTTCTGTAGAATCTGCAAATGGATATTTGGAGCCTTTTGAGGCCCATGGTGAAAAAGGAAATATGAGCACATAAAAACTAGACAAACGCATTCTGAGAAATTTCTTTGTGATTCCTACATTCGTTTCACAGAGTGGAACCTTTCTTTTTATTGAGCAATTTGGAAAACGTCTTTTTGTACAGTATGCAAAGGGATATTTCGGAGCCGTTTGAGGCCTATAGTGAAAAAGAAATATCTTCTCAGTAAAAGTAGACAGAAGCATCCTGAGAAACTTTTTTTGATGTGTGCATTCATCTCACAAGGTTGAACCTTTCTTTTGATTGAGCAGTTTGGAAACAGTATTTTCATAAATTCTGCCAGGGTTATTTTTGAGCCCCTTATGGCCTATGGTGAAATAGGAAATATTTTCACATAAAACATAGAGAGAAACTTTATCAGAAACTTCCTTGTGATGTATGCTTTCATCTCACCAAGCTGAACTTTTCTGTTCATTGAGCAGTTTGGAAACAGTCTTTTTGTAGAATCTGCAAATGGATAATTGTTGCGCTCTGAGGCCTATAGTGATAATGGAAATATCTTCACATAAAAACCAGACAGAAGCATTCTGAGAAACTTCTTTTAGATTCCTGCATTCATCTCACAGAATTGAACCTTTCCTTTGATTGAGCAGCTTGGAAACAGTCTTTTTGTACGATCTGCAAATGGATATTTCTTAGCCGTTTGAGGCCTATGGTGGAAAAGAAATATCTTCACTTAAAAACTAGACTGAAGCATTCTCAGAAACTTCTCTGTGATGTGTGCATTCATCTCACAGAGTTGAACCTTTCTTTTCATTGAGCAGTTTGGAAACACTCTTTGAGGCCTATGCTGAAAAAGGAAATATCCTCACAGAAAAACTAGGCAGAAGCATTGTGAGGAACTTCTTTGCGATGCCTGCATTCATCTCACAGAGTCGAACATTTCTTTTGATGAAGCACTTTGGAAACAGTCTTTTTGTAGTATCTGCAGAGGGATATTTGTGACAGGTTTAAGGTATATGGAGAAAAAGGAAATATCTTCACATTAAAACTAGACAGAAGCATTCTGAGAAACATCTTTGTGATGTGTGCTTTCATCTCCCAGAGTTGAAACTTTCTTTTGAGTAAGCAGCTTGGAAACCCTCTATTTGTAGAATCTGAAAATGGATATTTGGAGCGCTTTGAAGCCTATTGTGAAAAAGGAAATATCTTCAAATGAAAAGTACACAGAAGCTTTCTGAGATACTTCTTTGTGATGTGTGCTTTTATCTCACAGAGTTGAATCTTTCCTTTTATTGAGCAGGTTGGAAACACTCTTTTTGTAGAATCTGTAAATGTATATCTGGATCACTTTGAGGACTTTGGTGAAGAAGAAATATGTGTACATAAAAACTAGACAGAAGCATTTTGATAAATTTCTTTGTGATGCTTGCATTCATCTCACAGAGTTGAAACTTTCTTTAATGGAGCAATTTGGAATCAGACTTTTTGTAGAATCTGTACAGGTATATTTGTGAGCCCTTTATGGCCTATGGTGAAAGAGGAAATATCATCACATAAAACTAGACAGAAGTTTTCTGAGAAATTCCTTTTTGATGTATGCTTTCTTCTTACAGAGGTGAACTTTTCTTTTGATGGGACAGTTTGTAAATAGTCTTTTTGTAGAATCTCTAAATGGATTTTTGGAGGTTTTCAGGCTTCTGGTGCAAAAGGAAATATCTTCACATAAAAACTAGACAGAAGCATTCGGATAAACTTCTTTGTGTTGTGTGCATTCATCTCACAGAGATGAAGCTTTCTTTTGATTTAGCAGTTTGGAAACCATCTTTTTTTAAATCTGCAAATGGATATTTGGAGTGATTTGAGGACTACGGTGAAAAATTAAATATCTTCACATAAAAACTAGACAGAAGCATTCTGAGAAAGTTTGTCATAAAGTGTGCTTTCATCACACAGAGATGAACCAACCTTTTTTTATTGAGCAGTTTGGAAACAGTCTTTTTGTAGTATCTGCCGAGGGATATTTGTGACCAATTTAAGATTTATTGTGAAAAAGGAAATATCTTCACACAAAAACTAGACAGAAGCATTCTTAGAAACATCTTTTTGATGTTTTCATTCATCTCACAGAGTTGAAACTTTCTTTTGCTTGTACAGTTTGAAACGGTCTTTTAGTAAAATCTGCAAATTTATTTTTGGAGCGCTTCGAGGCCTATGGTGAAAAAGGATATATATTCACATAATAACTAGACAGCAGCATTCTGAGAAACTTCTTCCTGATGTGAGCATTCATCTAACAGATTTGAACGTTTCCTTGATTGAGCATTTTGGAAACAGTTTTGTTGTAGTTCTGCCATGGGATATTTGTTACCAGTTTAAGGCCTGTGGTGAAAAGGGAAATAACTTCACATAAAAAATAGACAGAAGTATTCTGAGAAGCTTCTTTGTGATGTGTGCATTCATCTCACAGAGTTAAACTTTTCTTTTGATTGAGCAGGTTGGAAACACTCCTTTAGTAGAATCTGCAAGAGGATATTTGGAGCGCTTTGAGGACTATGGTGAAAAATGAAATATCTTCACATAAAAACTAAATATAAGCTTTCTGAGAAACTTCAATTTGATATGTTCATTCATCTCACAAAATTGAACCTTTCTTTTGATTTAGCAGTTTCGAAACAGTCTTTTCATAGAATCTGCACAGGGATATTTGTGAGCCCTTTGTGGTCTATGGTGAAATAGGAAATATCTTCACATAAACACCAGACAGAAGCTTTCTGATAAACTTCTTTGTGATGTATGCTTTCATCTCACATAGTTTAACTTTTGTTTTGATTGAGCAGTTTGGGAACAGTGTTTTTGTAGAATCTGTAAATGGATATTTGGAGCATTTTGAGGCCTATGATGAAAATGAAATATCTTCACATGAAAACTAGACGGAAGCATTCTGAGAAACTTCTTTGCAATATGTTCATTCATTTCACAGAGATGAACCTTTCTTTTGATGGACCAGTTAGGAAACAGTCTTTTTGTAGTATTTGCAGAGGGATATTTCTGTCTGGTTTAAGGCCTATGGTGAAAAAGGAAATATCTTCACATAAAACCTAGACAGAAGTATTCTGAGAAACTTCTTTGTGATGTGTGCATTCATCTCACAGAGTTGAACCTTTCTTTTGATTGAGCAGTTGGAAACACTCGTTTTGTAGAATCTGCAAATGTATATTTAGAGCATTTTGAGGCCTATGGTGAAAAAGGAAATATATTCACAAAAAAAACTAGACAGACGCATTCTGAGAAACTTCTTTGTGATGTGTGTATTCATCTCACAGAGTTGAATCTTTCTTTTGATTGAAATGTTTGGAATCAACCTTTTTTAAGATCTGCAAGTGGATATTTGGAAGGCTTTGAGGCCTATGGTGGAAAAGGAAATTTCTTCACATAAAATCTAGACAGGAGCATTTTGAGAAACTTTGTAATGTGTACATTCATCTCACAGAGTTGAACCTTTCCTTAGATGGAGCACTTTGGAAACAATCTTTTTGTAGTATCTACAGAGGGATATTTGTGACCGGTTTAAGGCCTATGGTGAAAAAGGAAATATCCTCACATAAAAACTAGACAGAAGCATTCTGAGAAACTGTTTTGTGTTGTGCACATTCATCTCTCACAGTTGAAACTTTCCCTTGATTGGGCAGTTTGGAAACACTCTTTTTGTAGAATCTGCAAATGGATATTTGGAGGGCTTTGAGGCCTATGGTGATAAAGGAAATTTCTTCACATAAAAACTAGACAGAAGCATTCTGAGAAGCGTCTTTGTGATGTATGCTTTCATCGGACCCACTTGAACCTTTCTTTTCATTGAGCAGTTTGAAAACAGTGTTTTTGTAGAATTTGCAAATGGATATTTGCAATGCTTTGAGGCCTACGGTTAAAAGGAAATGTCTTCACATAAAAACTATACAGAAGCATTCTGAGAATCCTCTTTGTGATTTGTTCATTCATCTCACAGAGTTGAACCTTTCTTTTACTGGAGCAGTTTGGAAAAAGTCCTTTTTTAGTATCTGCAAAGGGATATTAATGACAGGTATAAGGTCTATGGTGAAAAAGGAAATATCTTCACATAAAAACTAGACAGAAGCATTCTGAGAAACTTCTTTTTGATGTGTCCATTCATCTCACAGAGTTGAAACTTTCTTTTGATTGATCAACTTGGAAAAAGTGTTTTTGTAGACTCTGCAAATGGATATTTGGAGCACTTAGAGGCCTATGATGAAAAAGGGAATATCTTCACATAAATAGTAGACAGAATCTTTCTGAGAAACTTCTTTGTGAAACCTGCATTCATCTCACAGAATTAAACCTTTCTTTTCATTGAGCAGTTCGGAAATAGTTTTTTTGTACAATCTGCAAAGGGATATTTCCAAAGCAATTGAGGCCTATGGTGAAAAATAAGTATCTTCATATATAAACTAGACAGAAGCATTCTGAGAAACTTCTATATGATGTGTGCATTCATCTCCCAGTCTTGAACCTTTCTTTTGATTGAGCAGGTTGGAAACACTCTTTTTGTAGAATCTGCAAATGGGTATTTGGAGCGCTTTGAGGCCTATGGTGAAAAAGGAAATATCCTCACATAAATATTACACAGAGGCATTCTGAGAAACTTATTTGTGATATGTGCATTCATCTCACAGAGCTGAACCTTTCTTGTGATTTAGGAGATCGGAAAGAGTCTTTTTGTAGAATCTACAAGTGGATATTTGAAGCATTTTGTGGTCTATGGTAATATAGGAAATACCTTCACATAAAAACTAGACAGAATCATTCTGAGAAACTTCTTTGTGATGCCTGCATTCAGCTCACAGAGTTAAACCTTTCTTTTGAATGAGCAGTTTGGAAACAGTCTTTTTGTACAATCTGCAAAGGGATATTTCCGAGACTTTTGAGGCCTAGGGTGAAAAAGAAATTTTTTCAGATAAATACTAGACAGGAGCATTCTGAGAAACTTCCTTGTGATGTGGGTATTCATATCACAGAGTTGAACCTTTCTTTTCATTTAGCAGTTTGGAAACAGTCTTTTCATAGAATCTTCACAGGGACATTTGTGAGCACTTTATGGCCTATGGTGATATAGGAAATATCTTCACATAAAAACTAGACAGAAACATTCTGAGAAAATTCTTTGTGATGTATGCTTTCATCTCACAGTGTTGGACCATTCTTTTGATTGATCTGTTTGGAAACAGCCTTTTTGTAGAATTCGCAAAAGGATATTTGGAGCGTTTTGAGGCCAATGGTGAAAAAGGAAATATCTTCACATAAAAACTAGCCAGAAACATTCTGAGAAACTTCTCTGTGATGTGTGCATTCATTTCACAGAGTTGAAGCATTCTTTTCATGTAGAAGTTTGGAACATTCTTTTTGCAGTATCTGCAGAGGCATATTTGAGACCAGATTAAGGCCTACAGTGAAAAAGGAAATACCTTCAGATAAAAACTAGACAGTAGGATTCTTAGAAACTTTTTTGTGACGTGTGCATTCATCTCACACAGTTGAAACTTTTTCTTCATTGAGTAGGTTAGAAATACTCTATTTGTAGAATCTACAAATGGATATTTGGAAAGATTTGAGGCCTATGGTGAATAGGAAACATCTTCACATCAAAACTAGACAGAAGCATTCTGAGAAACTTCTTTGTGATGTGTGCATTCATCTAACAGACTTGAACCTTTCTTTTAATGGAGCAGTTTGGAAAAAGTCTTTTTTTAGTAACTGCAGAGGGATATTAATGACAGGTTTAAGGCCTACTGTGAAAAAAGAAATTTCTTCACATTAAAACTAGACAGAAGCATTCTGAGAAACTTCTTTTTGAAGTGTGCAATCATCTCACATAGTTGAACATTTCTTTTGATTGAGCAGGTTGTAAACACTCTTTTTGTAGAATCTCCAAATGGATATATGGAGCACTTTGTGGCCTGTAGTGAAAAAGGAAATATCTTCACATAAAAAACCAGACGGAAGCATTCTCAGAATCTTCTTTGTGATGTGTACATTCATCACACAGATTTGAACCTTGCTTTTGATGGAGCACTTTTGAAACAGTCTTTTTGTATTATCTGCAGGGGGATATTTGTCACTGGTTTAAGGCCTATGGTGAGAAAGGAAACATCTTTACATAAAAACTAGCTAGAAGGATTCTGAGAAACATCTTTGTGATGTGTGCATTCATCTCACAGAGTTGAATTTTTTTTTTTTGATTGAGCAGTTTGGAAACAGTCTTTTCATAGAATCTGCACAGGGATACAAGAGCGCTTTGAGGTCTATGGTGAAAAAGGAAATATCTTCAAATAAAAACTAGACAGAAGCATTCTGAGAGACTTCTTTGTGATGTGTGCATTCATCTCACAGAGTTGAACCTTTCTTTTGATTGAGCAGGTAAGAAACACTGTTTTTGTAGAATCTGCAAATGGATATTTGGAGTGCTTTGAGGCCTATGGTGAAAAAGGAAATATCTTCACATAAAAACTAGACAGAAGCATTCTGAGAAACTTCTTTGAGATGCCTGCATTCATCTTACAGAGGTGAACCATTCTTTTGATTGAGCAGTTTGGCAACTGTCCTTTTTTAGAATCTGCAATTGGATATTTGGAGCGCTTTCAGGCCTATGCTGAAAAAGGAAAATCTTCACATAAAAACTAGACAGAAGCATTCTGACAAACTTCTTTGAGATGTGTGCATTCATCTCACAGAGTTGAACCTTTCTTTTGATAGAGCACTTTGGAAACAGTCTTTCTGTATATCTGCAGAGGGATATTTGTGACCAGTTTAAGCCTCTGGTGAAAAAGGAAATATCTTCACATAAAAACTACACAGAAGCATTCTGTGAAACTTCTTTGTGATGTGTGCATTCGTCTCACAAAGTTAAAACTTTCTTTTGATTGAGCAGTTTGGAAACACTCTTTTTGCAGAATCTGCAAATGGATATTTTGAGCGCTTTGAGGCTTATCATGAAAAAGGAACTGAGAAATTTCTTTCTGATGTTTGCTTTCACCTCATAGAGTTGAACGTTTGTTTTGATTGAGTAGTTTGGAAACAGTCCTTTATAGAATCTGCAAATGGATATTTGGAGTGCTTTGAGGTCTTTGGTGATAAAGGAAATATCTTCACATAAAAACTAGACAGAAGCGTTCTGAGAAACATTTTCATGATGTATGCATTCATCTCACAGAGGTGAACTTTTCTTTGATGGAGCATGTTGGAAATGGTTTTTTTGTAGTGTCTGCAGAGGGATATTGGAAAGCAGTTTAAGGCCTATGGTGAAAAAGTAAATATCTTGACATAAAAACTAGACAGAAGCATTCTTATAAACTACTTTGTGATGCCTGCATTCACCTCAAAGAGTTGAAATTTTCTTTTGATAGAGAAGTTTGGAAACAGTCATTTTGCAAAATCTGCAAAGGGATATTTCTGAGACGTTTGAGGCCTGTGGTGAAAATAAATATCTTCACATAAATACTAGACAGAAGCATTCCAAGAAACTTGTTTATGATGTGTCCATTCATCACACAGAGTTGAACCTTTCTTTTGATTGAGCAGTTTGGAAACAGTCTTTTCATTGAATCTGCAAAGGGATATTTGTTAGCCCTTAATGGCCTATCGTGAAATGGATAATATCTTCACATAAAAACTAGACAGAAGCTTTCTGAGAAACTTCTTTGTGACGTATTCTTTCATCTCACAGAATTTAACATTTCTTTTGACTGCACAGTTTGGAAACAGTCTTTTTGTAGACTCTGTAAATGGATATTTGGAGCGCTTTGAGGCCTATGGTGAAAAAGGAAATATCTTCATATAAAAACTAGACAGAAGCATTCTGAGAAACTTCTTTGTGAAGTGGGCATTCATCTCACAGAGGTGAACATTTCTTTTCGTGAAGCATTTTGGAAACAGTCTTTTTGTAGTGTCTGCAGATGGATATTGGAGAGCCGTTTAAGGCCTACAGTGAAAAAGTAAATACCCTCACATAAAAACTAGACAGAAGCATTCTGAGAAACTTCTTTGTGATGTGTGCATTCATCTCACAGAGTTGAACATCTGTTTTGACTGAGCAGTTTGGAAACACTCTTTTCGTAGAATCTACAAAGGGATATTTGGAGTGCTATTTGGCCTATGGGTAAAAAGTAAATATCTTCACATAAAAAGTAAACAGAAGCTTTCTGAGAAACTTCTTTATGATGAGCACATTCATCTCACAGTGTTTAACCTTTCTTTTGATTGACCAGTTTGGAACAGTCTTTTAGGAGAATCTGCAAAAGGATATGTGTGGGCACTTTGAGGCCTAAGGTGATATAGTAAATATCTTCACATAAAAACTAGACAGAAACACTCTGAGAAAATTCTTTGTGATGTGTGAATTCACCTCACAGAATTGAAACTTTATTTTGAATGAGTAGTTTGGAAACAGTCTTTTTGTACAATCTGTAAAGGCAGATTTGTGATCCCTTTGTGGCATACGGTGAAAAAGGAATTCTCTTCATACGAAAACTAAACAGAAGCTTTCTGAGACACATCTTTGTGAAGTGTGCATTTATTTCATGAAGTTGAACCTTTGTTTTAATTGAGCAGTTTTGAAACCGTATTTTTGTAGAATCTGCAAAGGGATATATGAAGGTGGTTTGAGGACTATGGTGAAAAAGGAAATATCTTCATATAAAAACTAGACAGATGCTTTCTGAGAACTTCTTTGTGATTTGTGATTTCATCACACAGAGTTGAACATCTCTTTTGATTGATCAGTTTGGGATCAGTCTTTTTGGAGAATCTGCAAAGGTATATTTGTGAGCAGTTTGAGACCTATGGTGAGAAAGTAAATATATTCACCTAAAAACTAGAGAGAAGCTTTCTGGGAAAATTCTTTGTGATGTGTTCATCCATCTCACAGAGTTGAACTGTTCCTTTGAGCAGTTTGCAAACAATCTTTTTGTCGAATCTGCAAAGTGATATTTGTGAACACTTTGAGGCTTATGTTGAAAAAGAAAATAACTTCACATAAAAACTAGACAGAAGCTTTCTGAGAAACTTTTTGTGATGTGTGCATTCATCTTATGGTGTCGAGGCTTACATTAAATTGAGCAGTTTGGAAACAATCTTTTTGTAAAATCTTCAAAGGGATATTTGTGATCCATTTGTGGCCATAAGGTGAAAAAGGAAATGTCTTCACAAAATACCAAGAAGCAAGCTTTCAGAGAAACTTCTTTGTGATATTTGCATTCATCTCACAGAGTTGAACTTTTCTTTTGATTGAGCAGTTTGGAAACAGTCTTTTTTGGAATCTGCAAAGGGACATTTGTGAGTGCTTTGAGGCCTATGGTGAAAAAGGAAATTTCTTCATATCAAAACTGACAGAAGCTTTCTGAGAAACTTCTTTGTGATGTGTGCATTCATCTCACAGTGTTGAAGCATACTTTTGATTGAACAATTTGGAAGTGGTGTTTTTGTAGAATCTGCAAAGGGATATTTGGGAGAGTGTTGAAGCCTATTGTGATAAAGGAATTATATTCACATAAAAACAACAAAGAAGCAGAGTCAAGATGGCCGAATAGCAACAGCTCCAGTCTACAGCTCCCAGGATGAGTGAGGCAGAAGATGGGTGATTTCTGCATTTCCATCTGAGGTACCGGGTTCATCTCACTAGGGAGTGCCAGACAGTGGGCTCAGGTCAGTGGGTGCAGTGCACCGTGCGCAAGCCGAAGTAGGGCAAGGCATTGCCTCATTCGGGAAGTGCAAGGGGTCAGGGAGTTCCCTTTCCTAGTCAAAGAAAGGGGTGACAGATGGCACCTGGAAAATCGGGTGACTCCCACACGATTGCAAAAATTTTTGCAACCTACTCATCTGACAAAGGGCTAATATCCCGAATCTACAATGAACTCAAACAAATTTACAAGAAAAAAACAAACAACCCCATCAAAAAGTGGGTGAAGGACATTAACAGACACTTCTCAAAAGAAGACGTTTATGCAGCCACAAAACACATGAAAAAATGCTCACCATCACTGGCCATCAGAGAAATGCAAATCAAAACCACAGTGAGATATCATCTCACATTAGTTAGAAGGGTGTTCATTAAAAAGTCAGGAAACAACAGGTGCTGGAGAGGATGTGGAGAAATAGGAACACTTTTACACTGTTGGTGGGACTGTAAACTAGTTCAATCATTGTGGAAGTCAGTGTGGTGATTCCTTAGGGATCTAGAGCTAGAAATACCATTTGACCCAGCCATCCCATTACTGGGTATATACCCAAATGACTATAAATCGTGCTGCTACAAAGACACACGCACACATACGTTTATTGTGGCATGATTCACAATAGCAAAGACTTGGAACCAACCCAAATGTCCAACAATGATAGACTGGATTAAGAAAATGTGGCACATATACACCATGGAATACTATGCAGCCATAAAAAACTGTGACTTCATGTCCTTTGTAGGGACATGAATGAAATTAGAAATCAACATTCTCAGTAAACTATCGCAGGAACAAAAAATCATACATCACATATTCTCACTCATACGTGGGAATTGAACAATGAAAACATATGGACACAGGAATGGGAACATCACACTCTGGGGACTGTTGTGGGGTTAGGGGAAGGGGGAGGGATAGCATTGGGAGATATACCTAATGCTAGATGACGAGTTAGTGGGTGCAGCGCACCAGTGTGGCACATGTTTACATATGTAACTAACCTGCACATTGTGCACATGTACCCTAAAACTTAAAGTATAATAATGAAAAAAAAACAAACAGAAAAGCTTTCTGAGTAACTGCTTTGTGATGTGTGCATTCATCACACAGAGTTGAACATCTCTTTTGATGGAGCAGTTTGGAAACAGTCTTTTTGGGGAATCTGCAAAGGTGTATTTGTGAGCAGTTTTTGGCCTATGGTGAGAAAGGAAATATATTCACAAAAAAACAACTAGACCAAAGTTTTCTGATAAACTTCTTTGTGATGTGTTCACTAGTCTCACAGAGTAGAACTATTCTTTTGATTGAGCAGTTTGGAAACAGTCTTTTTCTAGAATCTGCGAAGTGATATTTGTGTATGCTTTGAGGCCTATGGTGAAAAAGGAAGTATCTTCACATAAAAACTAGACAAAATCTTTCTGAGAAACTTCCTTGTGATGTGTGTATTCATCTCACAGAGTGTAACTGTTATTTTGGTTGAGCAGATTGTAAACAGTCTTTTTGTAGAATCTGTAAAGGGATATTTTTGTGCGGTTTGAGATCAATGGTGAGAAATTAAACATATTCACATAAAAACTAGACAGAAACTTTCTGAGAAACTTCTTTTTGATGTGTTCTTTCATCTCACGGAGTTCAACCATTCTTTTGATTTAGAAGTTTAGAAACAGTTTTTTTGTAGAATCTGCAAAGTGATATTTGTGAAAGCTTTGAGTCTTATGGTGAGAAAGGAAATATATTCACATAAAAACTAGACAGAATCTTTGTGACAAACCTCTTTGTGATGTGTGCATTCATCTCACATAGTTGAACATTTGTTTTCACTACGTACTTTGGAAAAAGCCTTTTTGAAGAATATGCAAAGGGATATTTGTGATCCAGTTGTGGTCTATGGTGAAAAAGGAAATGTCTTCAAATAAAAACTAGACACAAACTTTCTGAGGAACTTCTTGTGATGTGTGCATTATTCTCACAGAGTTGAATTTTCTTTTGATTGAATAGTTTGGAAACAGTCTTTTTGTGGAATCTGCAAAGGGATATATGTAGGCAGTTTGAGGCCTAAGGTGAAAAAGGAAATATCTTCACACAAAAAATAGACAGAAGCTTTCTGACAAACTTCTTTGTGAAGTGCACATTAATCACAAAGAGTTGAACCTTTCTTTTGATTGAGATGTTCAGAAACAGTCTTTTTGTAGAATCTGAAAAGGGATATATGAAGGTGGTTTGAGGCCTATTGTGAAAAAGGAAATACCTTCATATAAAAACTACATTGTAAGATTTCTGAGAAAATCCTTTGCGATGTGTGCATTCATCACACAAAGTTGATCCTTTCTTTTGATTGTATGGTTTGGAAACAGTCTTTTTCTGGAACGTACAAAGGAACATTTATTTGCACTTTCAGGCCTGTGGTGAAAAAGGAATTCTCTTCACATAAAAACTAGACAGAAGGTTTCTGAGAAACTTTTTTTTTTATGTGTGCATTCATCACACAGGGTTGAACATCTCTTTCAATTGAGCAGTTTGGAAACAGTCTTTTTGGGAATCTACAAAGGGATATTTGTGAGCAGTTTGAGGACTATGGTGAGAAAGAAAATATATTCACATAAAAACTACACAGAAACACTTCTTCGTGAAGTGTTCATTCGTCTCAAAGAGTGAACTGTCCCTTTGATTGAGCAATTTGGAAACAGTCTTTTTGTAGAATCTGCAAACTGATATTTTTGAATGCTTTGGGGCTTATGGTGAAAAAGTAAACATCTTCACATAAAAACTAGACAGAAGTTTTGTGAGAAACTTCCTTGTGATGTGTGCATTCATCTCACAGAGTTGAACCTTTGTTTTGATTGAGCAGTTTGGAAACAGTCTTTTTGGGGAATCTGCAAGGGATATTTTTAATCCATTTGTGGCCTATGGTGAAAAAAGAAATGCCTTCACATAAAAAATTAGACAGAAGCTTTCTGAGAAACTTCTTTGTAATGTGTGCATTCATCTCACAGATTTGAAGCTTACTTTTGATTGAGCAGTTTGGAAACAGTCTTTTTGGGGAATCCGCAAGGGATATTTTTGATCCATTTGTGGCCTATGGTGAAGAAGGAAATGCCTTCACATAAAAAATTAGACAGAAGTTTTCTGAGAAACTTCTTTGTCATGTGTGCATTCATCTCACAAGGTTGTAATTTTCTCTTGATTGAGCAGTTTGGAAGCAGTCTTTTTGTAGAATCTGCAAAGGGATACATGTAGGTGGTTTGAGGCATATTGTGAAAAGGGAAATATCCTCACATAAAAGCTAGACAGAAGTTTTCTGAGAAACTTCTTTGTGATGTGTGCATTCATCACACAGATTTGAACATCACTTTTGCTTGAGCAGTTTGGAAACAGTCTTTTTGGAGAATCTAAAAAGGGATATTTCTGAGTGGATGGAGGCCTATGGTTAGAAAGGAAATATATTCACATAAAAACTACACAGAAAAACTTCTTTGTGTTGTGTACATTTGTCTCACAGAGTTGAACCATTCTTTTGATTGAGCAGTTTGGAAACTGTCTTTTTGTAGAATCCGCAAAGTGATATTTTTAAACGTTTTGAGTCTTATGGTGAAAAAGTAAATATCTTCACATAAAAACTACAGAGAAACTTTCTGAGAA
This sequence comes from Homo sapiens, assembly GCF_000001405.40. Lineage (NCBI taxonomy): Eukaryota > Metazoa > Chordata > Mammalia > Primates > Hominidae > Homo > Homo sapiens. The sequence goes on along the minus strand of NC_000010.11, from coordinate 41,814,860 downwards.
ACTACTTTGTGATGTGTGCATTCATCTCACAGAGTTGAACCTTTGTTTTGATTGAGCAGTTTGGAAATAGTCTTTTTGGAGAATTTCAAAGGGATATTTGTGATCCGTTTGTGGCCTATGTTGAAACAGGAAATGTCTTCACATAAAAACTAGACACATACTTTCTGAGGAACTTCTTTGTGATGTGTGCATTCATCTCACAGAGCTTAACATTTCTTTTTATTGAATACTTTGGAAACAGTATTTTTTGGAGAATCTGCAAAGGGATATATGTAGGCAGTTTCAGGCTTATGGTGAAAAAGGAAATATCTCCACATAAAAACAAGACAGAAGCTTTCTGAGAAACTTCTTTGTGATGTGCGCATTCATCACACAGAGTTGAACTTTTCTTTTCATTGAGCAGTTTGGAAACAGTCTTTTTGTAGGATCTCCAAAGGGATATTTGTGATCCATTTGTGGCGTATGGTGAAAAAGGAAATGTCTTCACATAAAAGCAAGAATGAAGATTTCTGAGAAACTTTTTTGTGAAATGTGCATTCATCTCAGAGATTGGAACCATCCTTTTGACTGAGCAGTTTGGAAACAGTCTTTCTGTAGAATCTGCAAAGGGTTATTTGGGAGTACGTTGAGGCCTATGGTCAAAAAGGAAATATCATCACAAAAAAATTAGAAAGTTGCCTTCTGAGAAACTGCTTTGTGATGTGTGCATTCATCTCACAGAGGTAAAAGTTTCTTTTCATTGAACAGATTAGAAACTCTGTTCTAGGATTGGCAAAGGGATACATGTAAGCACTTTGAGGCCTATGGTGAAAAATGAAATATTTCCACATAAAAACTAGACAGAAGCTATCTGAGAAACTTCTTTGTGATGTGTACATTCATACTACAGAGTTCTCTGTTCTTCTAAAATCTGCAAAGGGATATTTGTGAGTGCTTTGAGGCCTATGGTGAAAAAGTAATTATCTTCACATAAAAACTAGACAGAAGCTTCCCAGAAAAATTGGTTGTGATGTGTGTATTCATCTCACAGAGTTGAACCATTCTTTTAATTGAGCAGTTTGGAAACAGTTTTCTGTGGAATCTGCAAAGGGATGCTGTGATTGATTTTAGGACTATGGTGAAAAATGAAATATCTTCAAATAAAGCTAGAAAGAAGCTTTCTGAGAAACTTCTTTGTTATGTGCACATTCATCTCACAGAGGTAAAAGTTTCTTTTCATTGAGTAGTTTGGAAGTTCTGTTCTTCTAGAATCGGCAAAAGGATATTGATGAGTGCTTTGAGGCTCATGGTGGAAAATGAAATATCATCAAATAAACCATAGACAGAAGATTTCTGAGAAACTTCTTTGTGATGTTTGCATTCATCTCACAAAGTTGAACCATTCTTTTGATGGAGCAGTTTGGAAACAGTCTTTTTGTAGAATCTGCAATGGATATATGGGAGCACGTTGAGGCCTATGGTGAAAAAGTAAATATCTTCACATTAAAACTGGTAAGAAGCTTTCTGAGAAACGGCTTTGTGATGTGTGCATTCACCCAACAGAGGTAAATTTTTCTTTTCATTGAACAGTTTGGAAACTCTGTCTTCTAGAATTGGCAAAGGGATATTTGTGAGTGCTATGTGGCCTAGGGTGAAAAAGGAAATATCTTCACATAAAAACTATACAGAAGTTTTCTGGGAAAATTCTTGCTGATTTGTGCATTCATCTCACAGATTTTGACTGTTATCTTGATTGAGCTGTTTGGAAACAGTCTTTTTGCAGAATCTGCAAAGGGATAATTGGGAGTGCATTGAGGACTATGGTGTAAAAGGAAATATCTTGATATAAAAACTAGAAAGAAGCTTTCTCAGAAACTAATTTGTAATGTGTGCATTCATCTCACAGAGGTGAACCGTTTTTCTGATTGAGCAGTTTGGAAGAAGACTTTTTATACAATCTCCAATGGGATATTTGGGAGAACGTTGAGGCCTATGGTGAGAAAGGAAATATCTTCACGTAAAAACTACATAGAAGCTTTCTGAGAAACTGCTTTGTGATGTGTGCATTCATCTCACATGGATAAAAGTTTATTTTCAATGAGCAGTTTGGAAACTCTCTTCTTCTAGAATTTGCAAAGGGAAATTTGGGATCATCTTGAGGCCTATGGAGAAAAAGTAAATATGTTCACATAAAAACAAAAAGAAGCATTCTGAGAAAGGCTTTGTGATGTGTACATTCATATAACAGAGGTAAAATATTCTTTTCATTTAGGAATTTGGACACTGTTCTTCTGGAATCATGAAAGAAATATTTGTGAGCACTTTGAGGCCTATGGTGAAAATGGAATTATCTTCACATAAAAACTAGACAGAAGATTTCTGAAAACTTCTTTGTAATGTGTGCATTCATCTCACAGACTAGAACCTTTCTTTTGATTAAGCAGTCTGCAAAAAGTCTCTTTGTAGACTCTGCAAAGGGATATTTGTGAGCGAGCACTTTAAGGTCTATGGTGAAAAAGAAAATATCATCACATAAAAACTAGACAAAAGCTTTCTGGGAATAGTCTTTGTGATGTGTCCATTCATCTCACGGAGTTGAACCATTCTTTTGAATGAGCAGTTTGGCAACTGTCCTTTTGTAGAATCTGCAAATGGTTATTTAGTAGCATGTGGAGGCCTATGGTAGAAAAGGAAACATTTTCACATAAAAACGACAAAGAAGTTTTCTGAGAATCTGCTTTGTGATGGGTGCATTCATCTTACAGAGGTAAACGTTACTTATTATTGAGTAGTTTGAAAACTCTATTCTTCTAAGATCAGCCAAGGGGTATTTTTGAACCTTTTTTGGCCTATTGTGAAAAAGAAATATCTTCACACAAAAACTAGACAGAATCTTTATGAGAAATTACTTTGTGATGTGTGCATTCATCTCACAAAGTTGAACCATGCTTTTGCTTGAACAGTTTGGAAATAGTCTTTTTGTAGAATCTGCAAAGGGATATTTTAGAGCATATTTGAGGCCTATGGTGAAAAAGTAAATATCTTCACATAAAAACTGCCAAGAAGCTTTCTGAGAAACTGCTTTTTCTTTGAGGGGTATCATGTAAAAGGAAATATCTTCACATAGAAACAAGACACAAGATTTTCGAGAAACTTCTTTCTGATGTGTGCATTCATCTCATAGTGTTGAATGATCTTTTGATGAGCAGTTTCAAAGAAGTCTTTCTGTAGGATCTGCAAAGGAATGTTTGGAAACCAGTTGAGGCCAATGGTGAAAAAGGATATATCTTCACATAAAAACTAGACAGATGCTTTCTGAGACATTTCTTTGTGATGTATGCATTCATCTGACAGGGTTAGTTGAAAATTTCTTTTGATTAAACAGTTTTGAAACACTCTTTTTGTGGAATCTGCAAGTGGATATTTGGATTGCTTTGAGGCCTATGGTGGAAAAGGAAATATCTTCACATAAAAACTAGACAGATGCATTCTGAGAAACTTCTTTGTGATGTGTGCATTAAACCCACAGAGGTAAATGTTTCCATTCATTGAGAAGTTTGGAAACTCTGTTCTTCTAGAATCTGCAAAGGGATATTTGAGAGTGCTTTGAGGCTTATGGTGAAAATGGAAATATGTTCCCATAAAAACTAGACATAAGCTTTCTGGGAAAATTCTTTGTGATGTGTGCATTCATCTCACAGAGTTGAACCATTCTTTTGATTGAGCAGTTTGTAAAATGTCTTTTGTAGAGTCTGCAAAGGGATAAGTGGGAGCACGTTGAGGCCTATGGTGAAAAAGGAAATACCTTCAAATAAAAGCTACAAAGAACCTTTTTGAGAAAATGCTTCATGATGTGTCCATTCATCTCACAGAGGTAAACATTTCTTTTTCATTGAGGAGTTTGGAAACTCTTTTCTTCTAGAATACGGAAAGGGATATTTGTGAGTGCTTTGAGGCATATGGTGAAAAATGCAATATCTTCACATAAAAACTAGACAGAAGCTTTCTGGGAAAATTCTTTGTGATGTGTGCTTTAATCTCTCAGACTTGAACCACACTTTTTATTGACCAATTTGGAAACAGTCTTTTTGTGAAATCTGCAAAGGGATATTTGGGCGCACATTCAGGCCTAGGGTGCAAAAGGAAATATCTATGCAAAAAAACTAGAAAAAGCATTCTGAGAAACTGCTCTGTGACTTGTGCATTCATCTCCCAGAGCTAAATGATTCTTTTCATTGAGGAGTGCAAATCAGTATTTTTGTAGAATCTGCAAAGGGATATTTGTGAGGCTTCCAGACAGGAAATATCTTCATATAGAAACTAGACAGAAGCTTTCTTAGAAGTTTATTCCTGATGTGTGCATTCATCTCACAGAGTTCAACAATTATTTTGATTCAGCAGTTTGGAAAAAGTCTTTCTGTAGAATCCGCAAAAGGATATTTGGGAGTGCATTGAGGCTTATGTTGAAAAAGGAAATATCTTCACATAAAAACTAGACATAAGCTTTCTCACAAGCTTCTTTGTGATGTGTGCATTCACCTCAAAGAGTTGAACCTTTGTTTTGATTGAGCAGTTTGGAAACAGTCTTTTTGTAGTAACTGCAAGGAGATATTTGGGAGCACATTGAGGCCCATGGTGAAAAAGGAAATATCTTCACATAAAAACTACAAAGAAGCTTTCTGAGAAACTGCTTTGTGATGTGTGCATTCATCTCACAGAGATAAAGGTTTCTTTTCATTGAGCAGTTAGGAAATTCTTTTCTTCTAGAATCTGCAAAGGGATATTTGTGAGTTTTTTGAGGCCTAAGATTAAAAAAGAAATATCGCCCCTTAAAAACTAAAGATAAGCTTTCTGAGAAACTTCTTTTTGATGTGTGCATTTATCTCACAGAGATGAACCATTCTTTTGACTGAGCAGTTTGGAAAGTCTTTTTGTAGAATCTGCAAAGGGATATTGGGGATCACTTTGGGACCTATGGTGTAAGAGGAAATGCCTTCACATAAAAAATACAAAGAAGCTTTGTGAGAAACTGCTTTGTTATGAGTGCATTCAACTCACAGAGGTAAACCTTTCTTTTCATTGTGCAGTTTGGAAACTCTGTTCTTGAAAATCTGCAAAGGGATAATTTTGAGTGCTTTGAGGCCTATGGTGAAGGAGGAAATATCTTCACATAAAAACTAGACAGAAGCTTTCTGAGAAACTTCTTTGTGATGTGTGCATTGATCTCACAGAGCTGAAACAAGCTTTTGATTGAGCAGTTTGGAAACAGTCTTTTTGTATTATCTGCAAGGGGATATTTTGGAGCACATTGAGGTCTATGGTGAAAAAAGAAATATCTTCACATAAAAACTAGAAAGAAGCTTTCTGAGAAACGGCTTTGTGATGTATGCATTCATCTCATGGTGGTAAGCATTCCTTTTCATTGAGAAGTTTGGAAACTTTGTTCTTCTGTAATCTGCAAAGGGATATTTTTCAGTGTTTATGTCCTATGGTGAAAAAGGAACTATCCTCACATGAAAACTAGACAGAAGTTTTCTGGGAAACTTCTTTGTGGTGTGTACGTTCATCTCATGGAGCTGAACCTTTCTATTAATTGAGCAGTTTGGAAACAGTTTTTTTGTATAATCTGCAAAGGGATATTTGGGAGCACATTGAAACCTAAGTTGAAAAAGGAAATATCTTCACATAAAAACTAGGAAGAAGATTTCTGAGGAACGGCTTTTTGATGTGTGCATTCATCTTACAGAGGTAAATGATTCCTTTCATTGAGCAGTTTGGAAATTCTGTTCTTCTGGAGTGTGCAAATTGATATGTGTGAGTGCCTTGAGGCCTGTGGTGAAAAAGGAAATATCTTCATATAGAAACTAGACAGAAGCTTTCTGGAAAAGTTCTTTGTGATGTGTGTATTCATCTCACAGAAGTGAACCATTCTTTTGATTGAGCAGTTTGTAAAATTTCTTTTTCTGGAATCTGCAAAGGGATATTTGGGAGCATGTTGGGACCTATGGTGAAAAAGGAAACATCCTCACATAGAAATCAGAAAGAAGCTTTCTGGGAAAATTCTTTGTGATGTGTGCATTCATCTAATAGAGATGGACATTCTTTTGATTGAGCAGTATGGAAACTTTCTTTTTCTAGAATCTGCCAAGGGTTATTTGGGAGTATGTTGAGGCCTAGGGTGAATAAGGAAATATCTTTATGTAAAACTAGAAATAAGCTGTCTGAGAAACTGCTTTGTGATGCGTGCATTCATCTCACAGAAGTGAACTTTTCTTTTCATTGAGTAGTGTCAAAACAGTCTTTTTGTGGAATCTGCAATGTGGTATTTGTGAGCGCTTTGAGGACTATGGTGATAAAGGAAATATCGTCACATAAAAACTAGATAGAAGCTTTCTGAGAAACTTCTTTGTGATGTGTGTGCATTCATCTCACAGAGATGAACCATATTTTTTATTGAGGAGTTTGGAAACAGTTTGGAAACAGACCTTTTGTAGAATCTGTAAAGGGATATTTGTGAGTGCTTTGAGGCCTATGGTGAAAAAGGAAATATCATCACAAAATAACTAGAGAGAAGCTTTCTGAGAAACATCTTCATGATGTGTGCATTCATCTCACAGATTTGAACCATTCTTTTGATTGGGGAGTTTGAAAACAGTCTTTTTTTGTAGAATCTCCAAAAGGATATTTGGGAGTTCATTGAGGCCTGTGGTGAAAAAGGAGATATCTTCACATAAAAATTAGAAAGAAGCTTTCTGAGAAACCTCTTCATGATGGGTGCATTCGTCTCATGGAGTTGAACCTTTCTTTTCATTGAGCAATTTGGAAACTGTCTTTTTTAGAATCTGTAAAGGATTGTTTGGGAGCGCATTGCGGCCTACTGTAAAAAACGAAATATCTTCACATAAAAACTGGAATGAACCATTCTAAGAAAGTTCTGTATGATGAGTGCATTCATCTCACAGAGTTGAATCATTGTTTTGATAGAGTAGTTTGGAAACAGTCTTTTTGTAGAATCTGCAAATGGATATTTACAAACACGGTGAGGTCTATGGTGAAAAAGGAAATATCTTCACATAAAAACTAGAAAGAAGATTTCTGAGAAACTGCTTTGTGATGTGTGCATTCATCTCTCAGAGTTAAATATTTCTTTTTATTGAGGAGTTTGGAAACTCTGTTCTTCTAAAATCTACAAAGGGATATTTTTGTGCGCTTTGAGGCCTATGATGAAAATGTTAATTTCGTCACATAAAAAATAGACAGAAGCTTTCTGAGAAACTTCTTTGTGACGTGTGCATTCATCTCACAGAGATGAACCATTCTTTTTGTTGAGCAATTTCAAAACAGTCTTTTTGTAGTATCTGCAAAGGGATATTTGTGAGTGGTTAGGGGCACTGGTGAAAAAGGAAATACCTTCACATAAAAACTAGACAGAATTTTTCTGAGAAATTTCTTTGTGATGTGTGCATTCATCTCACAGAGTTGAACCTTTGTTTTGATTGAGCAGTTTAGAAACAGTCTTTTTTTCAGAATCTGCAAAGGGATATTTGGGAGCGTATTGAGGCATATGGTGAAAAAGGAAATATATCTTCCCATAAAAACTATAAAGAAGTTTTAGAGAAGCTGCTTTGTGAAGTGTGCATTCATCTCACAGAGATTAAATTTTCTGATGATTGAGTAGTTTGGAAACTCTGTTCTTCTAGAATCTGCAAAGGGATATTTGTGAGCACTTTGAGCCCTATGGTGAAAAAGGAAATATCTTCACATAAAAACTGCAAAGGAACTTTCTGAGAAACAGCTTTGTGATTTGCCCATTCATCTCACAGAGGTAAATGTTTCTTTTCATTGAGCAGTTTGGAAACTCTGCTCTTATAGAATCTGCAAAGAAATATTAGTCAGTGCTTTGAGACCTATGTTGAAAAATGAAATATCTTCACATAAATCTAGAGAGAAGCTTTCTGAGAAATTTCTTTGGATGTATGCATTCATCTCACAGAGTTGAACAATTCTTTTGACTGAGAAGTTTGGAAAGAGTGTTTTTTGCAGAATCTGAAAAGGGATATTTGGGAGCATGTCATGGCCTATGGCGAAAAAGGAAATATCTTCACATATAAATCAGAAAGAATCTTTCTGAGAAACTGCTTTGTGATGTTTGCATTCATCTCAAAGAGGTAAACGTTCCTTTTCATAGAGCACTTTGGAAACTCGAATCTTCCAGTATCGGCAAAGGGATACTTGTGAGTGCTTTGAGACCTATGGTGAAAAAGGAAATATATTCACATAAAAACAAGACAGAAGCTTTCTGAGAAACTGCTCTGTGATGTTCACCTTCATTTCACAGAGGTAAATGTTTATTTTCATTGAGCAGTTTGGAAATTTTGTTCTTCTAGAATCTGTAAAGGGACATTTTTCAGAGCTTTGAGACCTACGTTGAATAATGAAATATCTTCATATAAATCTAGACAGAATCTTACTGAGAAACTTCGTTGGATGTGTGCATTCATCTCACAGAGTTGAACCTTTCTTTCGATGGAGCGGTTTGGAAACAGTCTTTTGGTAGTATATGCAGAGGGATATTTCTGAACAGTTTAAGGCCTATGGTAAAAAAGGAAATATCTTCACATGAAAACTAGACAGAAGCATTCTCAGAAAATACTTTGTGATGTGTGAATTTATCTCACAAATGTAAACGTTTGTTTTTCTTTCTTTTTTTATTCCTTAAAATATTGTTCTATATATATATTATTTTGTTATTATACTTTTTTAAATTTTAGAGTACATGTGCACAACACGCAGGTTAGTTACATACGTATACATGTGCCATGCTGGTGTGCTGCACCCATTAACTCATCATTTAGCATTAGGTATATCTCCTAATGCTATCCCTCCACCCTCCCCTCACCCCACAACTGTCTCCAGTGTGTGATGTTCCCCTTCTTGTGTACATGTGTTCTCATTGTTCAATTCCCACCTATGAGCAAGAACATGCGGTGCTTGGTTTTTTGTCCTTGTGATAGTTTACTGAGAATGATGATTTCCGATTTCATCCATGTCCCTACAAAGGACATGAACTCACCATTTTTTAAGGCTGCATAGTATTCCATGGTGTATATGTGCCACATTTTCTTAATCCAGTCTATCATTGTTGGACATTTGGGTTGGTTCCAAGTCTTTGCAATTGTGAATAGAGCCGCAATAAACATACGTGTCCGTGTGTCTTTATAGCAGCATGATTTATAGTCCTTTGGGTATATACCCAGTAATGGGATGGCTGGGTCAAATGGTATTTCTAGTTCTAGATCCCTGAGGAGTCACCACAGTGACTTCCACAATGATAGAACTAGTTTACAGTCCCACCAACAGTGTAAAAGTGTACCTATTTCTCCACATCCTCTCCAGCACATGTTGTTTCCTGACTTTTTAATGATTGCCATTCTAACTGGTGTGAGATGGTATCTCATTGTGGTTTTGATTTCCATTTATCTGATGACCAGTGATGGTGAGCATCTTTTCATGTGTTTTTTGGCTGCATCCCATTCACAATTCCTTCAAAGAGAATAAAATACCCACGAATCCAACTTACAAGGAATGTGAAGGACTTCTTCAAGGAGAACTACAAACCACTGCTCAACGAAATAAAAGAGGATACAAACTAATAAAAGAACATTCCATGCTCATGAGTAGGAAGAATCAATATCATGAAAATGGCCAAAATGCCCAAGGTTGTTTATAGATTCAATGCCATCCCCATCAAGCTACCAATGACTTTCTTCACGGAATTGGAAAAAACTGCTTTAAAGTTCATATGGAACCAAAAAAGAGCCTGCATCACCAAGTCAATCCTAAGCCAAAAGAACAAAGCTGGAGGCATCATGCTACCTGACTTCAAACTATACTACAAGGCTACAGTAACCAAAACAACATGGTACTGGTACCACAACAGAGATATAGATCAATGGAACAGAACAGAGCCCTCAGAAATAACACCACATATCAAAAAACATATGATCTTTGACAAACCTGAGAAAAACAAGCAATGGGGAAAGGATTCCCTATTTAATAAATGGTGCTGGGAAAACTGGCCAGCCATATGTAGAAAGCTGAAACTGGATCCCTTCCTTACACCTTATATAAAAATTAATTGAAGATGGATTGAAGAACTACATGTTAGATGTAAAACCATAAAAACCCTAGAAGAAAACCTAGGCAATACCATTCAGGACATAGGCATGGGCAAGGACTTCATGTCTAAAACACCAAAAGCAATGGCAATAATATCCAAAATTGACAAATGGGATCTAGTTAAACTAAAAAGCTTCTGCACAGCAAAAGAAACTACCATCAGAGTGAACAGGCTACCTACAAAATGGGAGAAAATTTTCACAACCTATTCATCTGACAAAGGGCTAATATCCAGAATCTACAATGAACTCAAACAAAATTTACAAGAAAAAAAAAACTATTGAAAATTGAGTGAAGGATATGAACAGACACTTCTCAAAAGAAGACATTTATGCAGCCAAAAAACACATGAAAAAATGCTCACCATCACTGGCCATCAGAGAAATGCAAATCAAAACCACAATGAGATACCATCTCACACCAGTTAGAATGGCAGTCATTAAAAAGTCAGGAAACAACAGGTGCTGGAGAGGATGTGGAGAAATAGGAACACTTTTACACTGTTGGTGGGAGTGTAAACTAGTTCAGCCATTGTGGAAGTCAGTGTGGCGATTCCTCAGGGATCTAGAACTAGAAATACCATTTGACCCAGCCATCCCATTATTCTAAACTGCTCAATCAAAAGAAAGGTTCAACTCTGTGAGATGAATGCACACATCACTAAGAAGATTCTCAGAAAGCTTCTGTTTAGTTTTTATGTGAAGATATTTCCTTTTTTACCATAGCGCTCAAAGCATTCCAAATATGCATTTGCAGATTCTACAAAAAGAGTGTTTCCAAACTGCTCAGCCAAAGGAAAGTTTCAGAGCCAAGATGGCCGAATAGGAAGAGATCCAGTCTACAGCTCCCAGCCTGAGCGACGCAGAAGATGGGTGATTTCTGCATTTCCATCTGAGGTACCGGGTTCATCTCACTAGGGAGTGCCAGACAGTGGGCACAGGTCAGTGGGTGCACGCACCATGCGCGAGCCAAAGCAGAGTGAGGCATTGCCTCACTCGGGAAGTGCAAGGGGTCAGGGAGTTCCCTTTCCTAATCAAAGAAAGGGGTGATGGACGGCACCTGGAAAATCGGGTCACTCCCACCCGAACACTGCACGTTTCCAACGGGCTTAAAAAACGGCACACCACGAGATTATATCCCGCACATGGCTTGGAGGGTCCTACCCCATGGAGTCTCACTGATTGTTAGCACAGCCGTCTGAGATCAAACTGCAAGGCGGCAGCGAGGCTGGGGGAGGGGCGCCCACCATTGCCCAGGCTTGCTTATGTAAACAAAGCAGCCCAGAAGCTCGAACTGGGTGGAGCCCACCACAGCTCAAGGAGGCCTGCCTGCCTCTGTAGGCTCCACCTCTGGGGGCAGGGCACAGACAAACAAAAAGACAGCAGTAACCTCTGCAGACTTAAATATTCCTGTCTGACAGCTTTGAAGACAGCAGTGGTTCTCCCAGTATGCAGCTGGAGATCTGAGAACAGGCAGACTGCCTCCTCAAGTGGGTCCCTGACCTCTGACCCCCGAGCAGCCTAACTGGGAGGCACCCTCCAGCAGGCGCACACTGACACCTCACACTGCAGGGTACTCCAACAGACCTGCAGCTGAGGGTCCTCTCTGTTAGAAGGAAAACTAACAAACAGAAAGGACATCCACACCAAAAACCCATCTGTACATCACCATCATCCAAGACCAAAAGTAGATAAAACCACCAAGGTGGGGAAAAAACAGAACAGAAAAACTGGAAACTGTAAAAATCAGAGTGCTTCTCCTCCTCCAAAGGAAGGCAGCTCCTCACCAGCAACGGAACAAAGCTGAACAGAGAATGACTTTGACGAGCTGAGAGAAGAAGGCTTCAGACAATCAAATTACTCTGAGCTACGGGAGGCATTCAAACCAAAGGCAAAGAAGTTGAAAACTTTCAAAAAAATTTAGAAGAATGTATAACTAGATTAACCAATATAGAGAAGTGCTTAAAGGAGCTGATGGAGCTGAAAACCAAGGCTCAAGAACTACGTGAAGAATGCGGAAGCCTTAGGAGCCAATGCGATCAACTGGAAGAAAGGGTATCAGCAATGGAAGATGAAATGAATTAAATGAAGTGAGAAGGAAAGTTTAGAGAAAAAAGAATAAAAAGAAACGAGCAAAGCCTCCAAGAAATATGGGACTATGTGAAAAGACCAAATCTACATCTGACTGGTGTACCTGAAAGTGATGGGGAGAATGGAACCAAGTTGGAAAACACTCTGCAGGATATTATCCAGGAGAATTTCCCCAATCTAGCAAGGCCGCCCAACGTTCAGATTCAGGAAATAAAGAGAATGCCACAAAGATACTCCTCGAGAAGAGCAACTCCAAGACACATAATTGTCAGATTCACCAAAGTTGAAATGAAGGAAAAAATGTTAAGGGCAGCCAGAGAGAAAAGTCGGGTTACCCTCAAAAGGAAGCCCATTAGACTAACAGTGGATCTCTCGGCAGAAACTCTACAAGCCAGAAGAGAGTGGGGACCAATATTCAACTTTTTTAAAGAAAAGAATTTTCAACCCAGAATTTCATATCCAGCCAAACTAAGCTTCATAAGTGAAGGAGAAATAAAATACTTTACAGACAAGCAAATGCTGAGAGATTTTGTCACCACCAGGCCTGCCCTAAAAGAGCTCCTGAAGGAAGCGCTAAACATAGAAAGGACAAACGGTACCAGCCGCTGCAAAATCATGCCAAAATGTAAAGACCATCGAGACTAGGAAGAAACTGCATCAACTAACGAGCAAAATAACCAGTTAACATCATAATGACAGGATCAAATTCACACATAACAATATTAACTTTAAATGTAAATGGACTAAATGCTCCAATTAAAAGACACAGACTGGTAAATTGGATAAAGGGTCAAGACACATCAGCGTGCTGTATTCAGGAAACCCATCTCATGTGCAGAGACACACATAGGCTCAAAATAAAAGGATGGAGGAAGATCTACCAAGCAAATGGAAAACAAAAAAAAGGCAGGGGTTGCAATCCTAGTCTCTGATAAAACAGACTTTAAACCAACAAAGATCAAAAGAGACAAAGAAGGCCATTACATAATGGTAAAAGGATCAATTCAACAAGAAGAGCTAACTATCCTAAATATATATGCACCCAATACAGGAGCACCCAGATTCATAAAGCAAGTCCTGAGTGACCTACAAAGAGACTTAGACTCCCACACATTAAGAATGGGAGACTTTAACACCCCATTGTCAACATTAGACAGATCAACGAGACAGAAAGTCAACAATGATACCCAGGAATTGAACTCAGCTCTGCACCAAGCAGACCTAATAGACATCTACAGAACTCTCCACCCCAAATCAACAGAATACATATTTTTTTCAACACCACACCACGCCTATTCCAAAATTGACCACATACTTTGAAGTAAAGCTCTCCTCGGCAAATGTAAAAGAAAAGAAATTATAACAAACTATCTCTCAGACCACAGTGCAATCAAACTAGAACTCAGGATTAAGAATCTCACTCAAAACTGCTCAACTACATGGAAACTGATCAACCTGCTCCTGAATGACTACTGAGTACATAACTAAATGAAGGCAGAAATAAAGATGTTCTTTGAAACCAACGAGAACACACAACATACCAGAATCTCTGTGACACATTCAAAGCAGTGTGTAGAGGGAAATTTATAGCACTAAATGCCCACAAGAGAAAGCAGGAAAGATCCAAAATTGACACCCTAACATCACAATTAAAAGAACTAGGAAAGCAAGAGCAAACACATTCAAAAGCTAGCAGAAGGCCAGAAATAACTAAAATCAGAGCAGAACTGAAGGAAATAGAGACACAAAAATCCCTTCAAAAAATTAATGAATCCAGGAGCTGGTATTTTGAAAGGATCAACAAAATTGATAGATCATTAGCAAGACTAATAAAGAAAAAAAGAGAGAAGAATCAAATAGATGCAATAAAAAATGATAAAGGGGATATCACCACCGATCCCACAGAAATACAAATTACCATCAGAGAATACTACAAACACCTCTATGCAAATAACCCAGAAAATCTAGAAGAAATGGATAAATTCCTTGACACATACACTCTCCCAAGACTAAACCAGGAAGAAGTTGAATCTCTGAATAGACCAATAACAGGATCTGAAATTGTGGCAATAATCAGGAGCTTACCAACCAAAAAGAGACCAGGACCAGATGGATTCACAGCCGAATTCTACCAGAGGTACAAGGAGGATCTGGTGCCATTCCTTCTGAAACTATTCCAATCAATAGAAAAAGAGGGAATCCTCCTTAACTCATTTTATGAGGCCAGCATCATTCTGACACCAAAGCCAGGCAGAGACACAACCAAAAAAGAGAATTTTAGACCAATATCCTTGATGAATATTGATGCAAAAATCCTCAATAATATACTGGCAAACTGAATCCAGCAGCACATCAAAAAGCTTATCCATCATGATCAAGTGGGCTTCATCCCTGGGAGGCAAGGCTGGTTCAATATACGCAAATCAATAAATGTAATCCAGCATATAAACAGAACCAAAGACAAAAACCACATGATTATCTCAATAGATGCAGAAAAAGCCTTTGACAAAATTCAACAACTCTTCATGCTAAAAACTCTCAATAAATTAGGTATTGATAGGATGTATTTCAAAATAATAAGAGCTATCTATGACAAACCCACAGCCAATATCATACTGAATGGGCAAAAACTGGAAGCATTCCCTTTGAAAACTGGCACAAGACAGGGATGCCGTCTCTCACCACTCCTATTCAACATAATGTTGGAAGTTCTGGCCGGGGCAATTAGGCAGGAGAAGGAAATAAAGGGTATTCGATTAGGAAAAGAGGAAGTCAAATTGTCCCTGTTTGCAGACGACATGATTGTATATATAGAAAACCCCATTGTCTCGGCCCAAAATCTCCTTAAGCTGATAAGCAACTTCAGCAAAGTCTCAGGATACAAAATCAATGTACAAAAATCACAAGCATTCTTATACACCAACAACAGACAAACAGAGAGCCAAATCATGAGTGAACTCCCATTCACAATTGCTTCAAAGAGAATAAAATACCTAGGAATCCAACTTACAAGGGATGTGAAAGACCTCTTCAAGGAGAACTACAAACCACTGCTCAAGGAAATAAAAGAGAATACAAACAAATGGAAGAACATTCCATGCTCATGGGTAGGAAGAATCAATATCGTGAAAATGGCCATACTGCCCAAGGTAATTTACAGATTCAATGCCATCCCCATCAAGCTACCAATGACTTTCTTCATAGAATTGGAAAAATCTACTTTAAAGTTCATATGGAACCAAAAAACGGCCGCATCGCCAAGTCAATCCTAAGCCAAAAGAACAAAGCTGGAAGCATCACACTACCTGACTTCAAACTACACTACAAGGCTACAGTCACCAAAACAGCATGGTACTGCTACCAAAACAGAGATATAGATCAATGGAACAGAACAGAGCCCTCAGAAATAACGCCACATATCTACAACTATCTGATCTTTGACAAACCTGAGAAAAACAAGCAATGGGGAAAGGATTCCCTATTTAATAAATGGTGCTGGGAAAACTGGCTAGCCTTATGTAGAAAGCTGAAACTGGATCCCTTCCTTACACCTTATACAAAAATCAATTCAAGATGGATTAAAGATTTAAAAACCCTAGAAGAAAACCTAGGCATTACCATTCAGGACATAGGCATGGGCAAGGACTTCATGCCCAACACACCAAAAGCAATGGCAACAAAAGACAAAATTGACAAATGGGATCTAATTAAACTTAAAATCTTCTGCACAGCGAAAGAAACTACCATCAGAGTGAACAGGCAACCTACAAAATGGGAGAAAATTTTCGCAACCTACTCATCTGACAAAGGGCTAATATCCAGAATCTACAATGAACTCAAACACATTTACAAGAAAAAACAAACAACCCCATCAAAAAGTGGGCGAAGGACATGAACAGACACTTCTCAAAAGAAGACATTTATGCAGCCAAAAAACACATTAAAAGATGCTCACCATCACTGGCCATCAGAGAAATGCAAATCAAAACCACAATGAGATACCATCTCACACCAGTTAGAATGGCAATCATTAAAAAGTCAGGAAACAACAGGTGCTGGAGAGGATGTGGAGAAATAGGTACACTTTTACACTGTTGGTGGGACTGTAAACTAGTTCAACCATTGTGGAATTCAGTGTGATGATTCCTCAGGGATCTAGAACTAGTACCATTTGACCCAGTCATCCCATTACTGGGTATATACCCAAATGACTATAAATCATGCTGCTATAAAGACACGTGCACATGTATGTTTATTGCGGCATTATTCACAATAGCAAAGACTTGGGACCAACCCAAATGTCCAACAATGATAGACTGGATTAAGAAAATGTGGCACATATACAGCATGGAATACTATGCAGCCCTAAAAAAATGGTGAGTTCATGTCCTTTGTAGGGACATGGATGAAATTGGAAATCGTCATTCTCAGTAAACTATCGCAAGAACAAAAAACCAAACACCGCATATTCTCATTCATAGGTGGGAATTGAACAATGAGATCACATGGACACAGGAAGGGGAACATCACACTCTGGGGACTGTTGTGGGGTGGGGGGAGGGGGGAGGGATAGCATTGGGAGATATACCTAATGCTAGATGACGAGTTAGTGGGTGCAGTGCACCAGCATGGCACATGTATACATATGTAACTCACCTGCACAATGTGCACATGTACCCTAAAACTTAAAGTATAAAAAAAAAAAGAAGTTTCTCAGAATCCTTCTGTCTAGTTTTTTGGTGAACATATTTCTTTTTCACCATAGACCTCAAAGGGCTTGGAAATATCTCTTTGCAGATTCTACAAAAAGACTATTTACAAACTGCTCAATCATAAGAAAGGTTCAACTCTGTAAGATGAATGCAAGCATCACAAAGAAGTTTCTCAGAATGCTACTGTCTAGTTTTTATGTGAAGATATTTCCTTTTTCACCATAGGCCTCAAAGTGCTCTAAATATCAATTTGCAGAATCTACAAAAAGAGTGTTTCCAAACTGCTCAATCAAAAGGAAGGTTCTATTTTGTGAGATGAATGCACAAATCACAAAGAAGTTTCTCAGAATGCTTCTGTGTAGTTTTTATGTGAAGATATTTCCTTTTTCACCATAGGCCCCAAACTACTCTAAATATCCATTTGCCGGTCCTACAAAAAGAGTGTTTCCAACCTTCTCACTCAAAGGAAAGGTTCACCTCTGTGAAATGAATGCACACATCACAAAGAAGTTTCTCAGAATGCTTCTGTCTAATTTTTATGTGAAGATATTTCCTTTTTCACCATAGGCATTAAACCGGTCACAAATATCCCTCTGCAGATATTACAAAAAGACTGTTTCCAAACTGCTCCATTGAAAAAAAGGTTCAACTCTGTGAAATGAATGACACGTCACAAAGAACTTTCTCAGAGTGATTCTGTTTCGTTTTTATGTGAAGATATTTCCTTTTTCACCTTAGGCCAGGAAGCACTCCAAATATCCATTTGCTGATTCTACAAAAAGACTGTTTCCCAGCTGCTCAATCAAAAGAAAGTTTCAACTCTTTGAGATGAAAGTACATGTCACAAAGAAGTTTCTCAGAAAGTTTCTGTCTAGTTTTTATGTGAAGATATTTCCTATTTCACCATAGGCCAAAAATGGCTCACAAATATTCGTGTGCAGATTCTATGAAAAGATTGTTTCCGAACTGCTCTATCAAAGGAAAGGTTCAACTCTGTGAATTGAATCCACACATCACAAAGATGTTTCTCAGAATGCTTTTGTCTAGTTTTTATGTGAAGATATTCCCTTTTTCACCATTGGCCTCAAAGCTTTCCGAATATCGTTTTACAGATACTACAAAAAGAGTGTTTCCAACCTGCCCAATCAAAAGAAAGGGTCAACGCTGCTAGATGCATGCACACATCACAAACAAGTTTCTCAGAATGCTTCTGTCAAGTTTATATGTGAAGATATTTCCGTTTTCACCATAGGCCTCAAAGCGCTCCAAATATCCATTTGCAGATTCTGCAAAAAGAGTGTGTGCATCCTGTGTGATCAAAAGATAGGTTCAGCTCTGTGAGGTAAATTCACACATCAAAAAGAAGTTTCTCAGAATGCTTCTGTCTAGTTTTTATGTGAAATATTTCCTTTTTCACCATAGGCCTCAAAGTGCTCCAAATATCCATTTGTAGATTCTACAAAAAGACTGTTTCAAAACTGCTCAATCAAAAGAAAGGTTTAACTCTGTGAAATGAATGCACACATCCTAAAGAAGATTCTCAGAATGCTTCTGTGTAGTTTCTATGTGAGGATATTTCCTTTTTCACCATAGGCCTCAAAGTGCTCCAAATATCCACTTGCAGATTTTACAAAAAGAGTGTCTTCAACCTGCTTAATGAAAATAAAGGTGCAACTCCATGAGACGAACACACACATCACAAAGAAGTTTCTCAGAATGCTTCTGTCTAGTTTTTATGTGGATATTTCCTTTTTCACCACGGGCCTCAGAGCACTCCAAATATCCATTTGCAGATTCTACAAAAAGAGTTTTTGCAAACTGCTCAATCAAAGGAAGGTTCAACTTTGTGAGATGAAAGCACACATCAAAAACATGTTTCTCAGAATGGTTCCATCTAGTTTTTATGTGAAGACGTTTCCTTTTTTCACCATAGGCCTTAAACCAGTCACGAATATCCCTTTGCAGATACTACAAAAAGACTGTTTCCAAAGTGTGCCATCAATAGAAAGATTCAACTCTGTGAGATGAAAGCACACATCACAAGGAAGTTTCTCAGAATGCTTCTGTCTAGTTTTTATGTGAAGATATTTCCTTTTTCACTGTAGGCCTCAAAGCCCTCCAAATATCCATTTGCAGATTCTACAAAAGACATTTTCCAGAATGCTCAATCAAAAGAAAGTTTCAAGTCTTTGAGATGAAAGCATACATCACAAAGAAGTTTCTCAGAAAGCTTCTGTCTAGTTTTTATGTGAAGATACTTCCTATTTCCCAAAGGCCAAAAAAAACTCAAAAATATCTGTGTGCAGATACCATGAAACGAGCGTTTACAAACTGCTCAATCTAAAGAAAGTTTCAACTCTGTGAGATGAATGCACCCCTCACAAAGAAGTTTCTCCAAAAGCTTCTGTCTGGTTTTTATGTGAGGATACTTCCTATTTCAGTAAAGGCCATAAAGGACTCAAAAATATCCCTGTGCAGATACTATGAAAAGGGTGTTTACAAACTGCTCAATCAAAAGAAAGTTTCAACTCTGTGAGTTGAATGAACACATAACACATTAGTTTCTGAGAATTCTTCTGTCTAGTTTTTATGTGAAGATATTTCCTTTTTCACCAAAGGACTCAAGGGGCTCTAAATATCCATTTACAGGTTCTACTAAAAGAGTGTTTCCAAACTGCTCTATCAAAAGGAAGGTTCAATGCTGTGAGATGAGTGCACTCTTCACAAGTAAGAAGTTTCTCAGAATGCTTCTGTCTAGTTTTCATGTGAAGATATTTCCTTTTTCACCATAGGCCTCAAAGCACTCCAAATATCCATTTGCAGATTCTACAAAAAGACTGTTTCCCAACTACTGAAACAAAAGAAAGATTCAACTCTGTGAGATGAATGCACACATCACAAAGAATTTTCTAAGAATGCTTCTGTCTAGTTTTTATGTGAAGATGTTCCCTTTTTCACCATAGGCCTCAAAGTGCTCCAAATATCCATTTGCAGATTCTACCAAAAGACTGTTTTCAAACTGCTCAATCAAAAGAAAGATTCAACTCTATGCGATGAAAGCATACATTACAAAGAAATTTCTCAAAATACTTCTGTCTAGTTTTTATGTGAAGATATTTAGTTTTTTGACATAGGCCTCAATGCGCTCCAAATATCCATTTGCTGATTCTAAAAAAAGAGTGTTTCCAACCTTCTCAATCAAAAGAAAGGTTCAACTCTGTGAGATGAGTGCACGCATCCCAATGAAGTTTCTCAGAAAGCGTCTGTCTAGTTTTTATGCGACAATATTTCCTTTTTCACCATAGGCCTCATAGCGCCCTCAAATCTCCCTTTGCAGATTCTACAAAAAGACTGTTTCCAAACTGCTCAATCAAAAGAAAGGTTCAACTCTGTGAGATGAAGGCAGACATCACAAAAGAGTTTTTCAGAAAATTTCCCTCTAGTTTTTATATGAAGATAATTAGTTTTTCAAAGTAGGCTTCAAACGGCTCCCAAATATACCTTTGCAGATTCTTGAAAAAGACTGTTTCCAAACTGCTCAATCAAAAGAAAAGTTCTTCTCTATGAGATGAATGCACTCATCATAAGGAAGTTTCTCAGAAAACTTCTGTCTAGTTTTTATAGTAAGATATTTCCTTTTTCACCATAGGCCTCAAAGGGATCCCAAATATCCCTTAGCAGTTTCTACAAAAAGACTCTTTCCAAACTTCTCAATCAAAAGAAATGTTCAACTCTGTGAGATGAAAGCAAACCTCACAAAGAAGTTTCTCAGAAAGATTCTGTCTAGTTTTTATGTGAAGATATTTCCTTTTTCACCATAGGCCTCAAAGAGATCCCAAGTATCACTTTGTAGATTCTACCGAAAACTAATTCCAAACTGCTGAATCAGAAAAAAGTTTCATCTCTGTGAGTTGAATGCACACATCACAAAGAAATTTCTCAGAAAGCTTCTGTCTAATTTTTATATGAAAATGTTTCCTTTTTCACCATTGGCCTCAAACCACTCAGAAATATCCCTTTGCAGATTCTACAAAAAGACTGTTTCCAAACAGCTCAATCAAAGGAAAGTTTCAACTCTTTGAAATGAATGCACACATCACAAATAATTTTCTGAGAAAGCTTCTGTCTAGTTTTTATGTGAAGATATTCCCTTTTTCACCATAGGCTTCAAAGGGATTCCAAATATCCATTTGCAGATTCTTGAAAAAGACTGTTTCCACACTGCTCAATAAAAAGAAAGGTTCATCTCTGTGAGATGAATGCACACATCATGAACAAGTTTCTCAGAAAGCTTCTGTCTAGTTTTTATGTGAAGATATTACCTTTTTCACCACAGGCCTCAAAGGGATCCCAAATATCCCTTTGCAGATTCTACCAAAAGACTGTTTGCAAACTTCTCAATCAAAAGAAAGGTTCATCTCTGTGAGTTGAATGCACACTAGATAAAAAGTTTCTCAGAAAGCTTCTGTCTAGTTTTTATGTGAAGATATTTCCTTTTTCACCATAGGCCTGAAACCGCTCAGAAATATCTCTTTGCATATTCTAGAAAAACCTTTTCCAAACTTCCCAATCAAAAGAAAGTTTCAACACTGTGGGATGAATGCGCTCATCACAAAGAAGTTTCTCAGAAACCTTCTGTCTAGTTTTTATGTGAAGATATTCCCTTTTTCTCGATAGGCCTCAAAAGGATCCCAAATATCCCTTTTCACATTCTTTATAAAGACTGTTTCCAAACTGCTCAATCAAAAGAAAGGTTCAACGCTGTGACTTGAATGCAAACATCTCAAAGAAGTTTCTCAGAAAGTTTCTGTCTAGTTTTTATGTGAGGATATTTCCTTGTTCACCATAATTCTGAAACCACTCAGAAATATCCATTTGCAGATTCTAGAAAAAGACCTTTTCCAAACTGCTGAATCAAAAAAAGTTTCAACTCTTTGAGAAGAATGCACACATCACAAGGAACTTTCTCAGAAAGTTTCTGTCTAGTTTTCATATGAAGATACTACCTTTTTCACCATAGGCCTCAAAGGGATCCCTAATATCCCTTTGCAGATCCTACAAAAATACTGCTTCCAAACTGCTCAATCTAAAGAGAGGTTCAACTCTGTGGGATGAATGCCCACATTCCAAAGAAGTTTCTCAGAAAATTTTGTATAGTTTTTATGTGCACATATTTCCTTTTTCACTATAGGCCTCAAAGGGATCCCAAATATCTCCTAGCAGATTCTACAAAAAGACTGTTTCCAAACTGCTGAATCAAAAGAAAAGTTCAAGACTCTGGGTTCAATGCACATCATGAAGAATTTTCTCAGAAAGCTTCTGTCTAGTTTTATATGAAGTTATTTCCTTTTTCACCACGGGACACAAACTGCTCAGAAATATCCATTTGCAGCTTCTATAAAAAGACTGTTTCCAAACTGCTCAATCAAAAGAAATGTCCAACTCTGTGAGATGAATGCACACATCACAATGAAGTTTGTCAGAAAGCTTCTGTCTAGTTTTTATGTGAAGATATTTCATTTTTCAGCATAGGCCTCATAGCACCCTCAAATATCCCTTTGCAGATTCTACAAAGACTGTTTCCAAACCGTTCAATCAAAAGAAATGTTCAATTCTGTGAGATGAATGCAGACATCACAAAAGAGTTTCTCAGAAAATTGCTCTCTAGTTTTTATAAGAAGATAATTAATTTTTCAAAACAGGCCTCAAATGGCTCCCAATTATCCCTTTGCAGATTCTTGAAAAAGACTGTTTCCAAAATGCTCAATCAAATGAAAAGTTCTTCTCTGTGAGATGAATGCACACATCATAAAGAAGTTTCTCAGAAAGCTTCTGTCTAGTTTTTATAGGAAGATATTTCCTTTTCACCATAGGCCTCAAAAGGATCCCAAATATCCCTTTGCAGATTCTACGAAAAGACTCTTCCCAAACTTCTCAATCAAAGGAAAGATTCAACTCTGTGAGATGAAAGCCCACATCACAATGTAGTTTCTCAGAAAGATTCTGTCTAGTTTATATGTGAAGATATTTCCTTTTTCACCATAGGCTGAAAATGATTCCAATTTCACCGTAGGGCTCAATGCTCCCCTTAATATCCCTTTGCATGTTCCAAAAAGCAGTGCTTCCAAACCTCTGAGTGAAAATAAAGTTTTATCTCTGTGAGATGAATGCACACATCAAAAAATGGTTTCTCAGATAACCTCCTTCTAGTTTATATTGTGGGATATTATCTTTTTCGCCATTGGTCCCAATGAACTCCCATGAGTACATTTTCAGAATGCACAAAAACACTGTTTCCAAACTACTAATCCAAAGTAAGGTTTAAATCTGTGAGATGAGCGCACACATAACAAAGCAGTTTCTCAGAAAGCTTTCTTCTTGTTTTCATCTTAAGATGTTTTGTATTTCACCATAGGCTGCAACGCTCTCCAAAATATCCCTTTGAAGATTCTACAAAAATAGAGTTTTTAAATTGCTGAATGAAGAGAAAGGTTTAACTCTGTGAGATGAATGCACACATCAAAAAGCGGTTTCTCAGATAGCTTCCTTCTAATTATTCTCCTGTGATATTTCCTTTTTTGTCATTGGCCTCAATGACCTCCCAAATGTCCATTCACAGAATGGACAAAAACCATGTTTTCAAACCTGAATCCAAAGAAAAAATACCTCTGTGAGATAAATGCACACATCACAGTGCAGTTTCTCATAATGCTTCTTTCTAGTTTTTATCTGAAGATGTTTCCTTTCTCACCTTAGGTCTCAATGCTCTCCAAAATATCCCTTTGCAGAGTCTACAAAGACACATTTTCCAAGCTGCTGAATCCAAAGAAAGTTTTATCTCTGTGACATAAAGGCACACATCACAAAGCTGTTTCTCAGAAAGCTCCTTTTCAGTTTTTATCTGAAAATGTTTCCTTTTTACACCATAGGCCACAATGCTCTCCGACATATCCCATTATGGATTCCACAAAAACATTGTTTCCAAACTGCTGAATGAAAAGAAATGTATAACTCTGTGAAATGAATGCACACATCAAAAGTGGCTTTTCAGTTAGCTTCCTTCTAGGTTTTTGTCTGGGATGTTCACTTTTTCACCTTTGGCCCCAATGAGTTTGCAAATGTCCATCTGCAGAATGGACAAAAACCCTCTTTCCAAACTCTTGAATCCAAAGAAAGTTTTATCTCTGTGAGATGAATGCACACATCACAAAGCAGTTTCTCAGAAAGATTCTTTCCATTTTTATCTGAAGATATTTCCTTTCTTCACATTAATCTCTGAAATATTACTTTGCAGATTCTAAAAAAAAATTGTTTTTCCAAACTGCTGAATGAAAAGAAATGTTTAACTCTGTGTAATGAATGCACACATCACAATGTGGTTCCTCAGATAGCTTCCTTCTAGTTTTTATCCTGGGATATTCACTTTTTTGCCATTGGCCACAGTGAGCTCCCAAATATCAATTCACAGAATGGACAAAAACTGTGTTTCCAATCTACTGAACCCAAAGAAAGGTTTAAGTCTGTAAGATTAATACACACATCACAAAGCAGTTTCTCAGAAAGCTTCTTTCTAGTTTGTATCTGAAGAAGTTTCCTTTTTCATCATAGCCCTCAATGATCTCTGAAATATCCCTCTGCAGAATCTACAAAAACAGTGCTTCCAAAGCTGAATGAAAAGAAAGGTTTAACTCTGCAAGGTGAATGCGCACATAACACAGCAGTTTCTCAAATAGTTTCCTTTTAATTTTTATCCTGGAATATTCCGGTTTTTGCCATTGGCCTCAATGACCTTCCAAATGTCCATTCGCAGAATGGACAAAATTGTTTCCAAGCTGCTGAATCCAAAGAAAGGTTTAAGTCTGTGAGATGAATGCATACATCACAAAGCAGTTTCTCAGAATGCTTCTTTCTAGTTTTTATCCGAAGGTGTTTCCTTTTTCACCATACGCCTCAAAGCTCTTTGAGATATCCCCTTACAGATTCTGTGAAAACAGTTTTTCCAAACTGCTGAATCAAAATAAATATTTAACTCTGTGAGATGAATGCACACATAGCAAAGCAGTTTCTCAGAAAGCTTTTTATAGTTTTTATCTGAAGATGTTTCCTATTTCAAAATAACCCTCAATGCTGTCAGAAATATCCCTTTGCAGATTCTACAAAAACAGTGTTTCCAAACTGCTGAATGTAAAGAAAGTTTAACTGTGCAAGCTGAACACACACATCACATAGCAATTCCTCAGATAGCTTGCATCTAGCTTTATCCTGAGATATTCGATTTTTGAACATTGGCCTCTATAAGCTCTCAAATGTCCATTCACAAACTGTAGAGAAACACTCTTTCCAATCTACTGAATCCAAAGAAAGGTTGAATTCTGTGAGATGAATGCACACATCACAAAGCAATGTTCAGAAAGCTACTTTCTAGTATTTATCTGAAGATGTCTCCTTTTTAAATGTAGATCTCAATGCTCTCCGAAATTAGCCTTTGCAGATTATAGAAAAAGAGTGTTTCCAAACTGCTGAATGGAAAGGCAGGTTTAACACTGTGATATGAATGCACACATCACAAAACGGTTTCTCTGATAGCTTCCATCTAGTTTTTATCCTGTTATATTTGATTTTTCAAAATTAGCCTCAATGAGCTTCCAAATGTCCATTCCCAGAATGGACAAAAATAGTGTTTACAAACTACTGAATCAAAAGAATGCTTTAAGTCTGTGAGATGAATGCATACACTACAAAGTAGTTTGTTAGAAAGCTTTCTAGTTTTTTTCTGACAATAATTCCTTTTTCACCATAGTCCTCAATGCTCTCAGAAATATCCCTTTGCAGATTCTACAAAAACAGTGTTTCCAAACTGCTGAATGAAAAGAAAGTTTAACTCTGTTAGATGAATGCACACATCACAAAGCAGTTTCTCAGGTAGCTTCTGTCTACTTTTTATCTAGGGATATTCCCTTTTTCCCCATTGGCTTCAATGAGTTCCAAAATGTCCATCACAGAATGGACAAAAACAGTGTTTCCATAATACTGAATCCAAAGAAATGTTTAAGTCTGTGAGATGAATGCAAACATCACAAAGCAATTTCTCAGAAAACTTCTTTCTAGTTTTTATCTGAAGATATTTCCTTTTTCACCATAGGCCTCAATTCTCTCCTAAATATCCCTTTGCAGATTCTACAAAAACAGTGTTTCCAGACGCTGAAGGAAAAGAAAGGTTTAACTCTGTTAGATGAATGCACACATCACATAGCATTTTCTCAGATAGCTTCTGCCTACATTTTATTCTGGGATATTCACTTTTTCACCATTGGCCTGAATGTGCTCCCAAATGTCTATTCTCAGAATGGACAAAAGCAGTGTTTCCAAACTGCTGAATCCAAAGGAAGGTTAAACTAGTGAGATGATTGCACACATAACAAAGCAGTTTCCCAGAAAGCTTCTTTCTAGTTTCTATTGATAGATGTTTCCTTTTTCACCATAGGCCACAATGCTCTCCAAATTTTCCCTTTGCAGTTTCTACAAAAACAGTGTTTCCAAACTGCTGAATTAAAGAGACAAATAACTCTGTTAGATGAATGCACACATCCCATAGCAGTTTCTCAGATAGCTTCCAACTACTTTTTATCCTAGGATATTCACTTTTTCCCCATTGGTCTCAATGAGCTCCCAAATGTCAATTCGCAGAATGGACAAAAAATGTGTTGCCATACTACTGAATCCAAAGAAATGTTTAAGTCTGTGAGATGAATGCACACAACACAAAGCCATTTCTCAGAAAACTTCTTTCTAATTTTTATCTGCAGATATATTCTTTTTCACCATAGGCCTCAATGCTCTTTGAAATACCCATTTTCAGATTCTACAAAAAGAGTGTTTCCAAATTCCTGAATCTAAAGAAAGGTTCAACTCTGTGACATGAATGCACACATCACAAAGCAGTTTCTCAGAAAATTTCTTTCTAGTTTTTATCTGAAGATATTTCCTGTTTCACCATATGTCTCAATGTTATCTGAAATATCCTTTTGCAGATTCTACAAAAACAAGATTTCCAAACTGCTGAATGAAAAGAAAGGTTTAACACTGTGAGATGAATGCACACATCATATAGCAGTTTATCAGATAGCTTCCATCTAGTTTTTAATCCTGAAATATTCTCTTTTTAGTGATTGGCCAAAAAGAGCTACAAAATATCAATTTGCAGCATGGACAAAAACAGTGTTTCCAACTACTGAATCCAAAGAAAGGTTTAAGTCTGTGAGATGAATGCACACATCACAAAGCAGTTTCCCAGAAAGCTTCTTTCTAGTTTTCCTGTGAAGATGTTTCCTTTTTCACCATAGGCCTCAATGCTCTCCAAAATATACCTTAGCAGATTCTACAAAAACAGTGTTTCCAAAGTGTTGAACAGAAAAGTTTACCTCTTTGAGATAAATGCACTCATCAGAAAGTGGTTTCTCAGATAGGTTCCTTCTAGTTTTTAACCTTGGACATTCACTTTTTTGCCATTGTCCTCAGTGAGCTTCCAAATGTCCATTCGTAGAATGGACAAAAACAGTGTTTACAAACTACTGAATCCAAAGAAAGGTTTAAGTCTGTGAGAAAAATGCACACATCACAAAGCAGGTTGCCAGAAAGCTTCTTTCTAGTTTTTATCTGAAGATGTTTCCTTTTTCACCACAGGCCTCAATGCTCTCTGAAATATCCCTTTGCAGATTCTACAAAACATTGTTTCCAGTCTGCTGAATGAAAAGAAAGTTTTACCTCTCTGAGACGAATGCACAACTCACATAGGAGTTTCTGAGATAGCTTACTTCTATTTTTATCCTGTTATTCACTTTTTCGCCATCAGCCTCAATGAGCTCCCAAATGTCTATTCACAGAATAAAAAAGACTGTGTTTCCAAACTGCTGAATGCAAAGAAAGGTTTTATTCTGTGAGATGAATGCACACATCAGAAAGCAGTTTCTCAGCAAGCTTTTTTCTACTTTTCATTTTCCACATAGGCCTCAATCCTCTTTGAAATATCCCTTTGCAGATTCTACAAAAACAGTGTTTCAAAACTGCTGAAATAAAAGAAATGTTTAACTCTGTGAGATGAATGCACACATCACAAAGCGGCTTCTCTGACTACCTCCTCCTAATTTAATCCTGGGATAGTCACTTTTTCACCATTGGCGTCAATGAGCTCCCAAATATCCATCCTCAGAATGGACAAAAATAGTGTTTCGAAGCTACTGAATCTAAGGAATGGTTGAACTCTGTGAGATGAATGTGCACATCACAAAACAGTTTATCAGAAATCTTCTTTCTAGTTTCAATTGGAAGATGTTTCCTTTTTCACCATAGGCCACAATGCTCTCTGAAATATCCCTTTGCAGATTCTACAAAAATAGTGTTTCCAAATTGCTGAATGGAAAGGATGATTTAACTCTGTGAGATGAATGAACATATCACAAAGCACTTTCTCGGATATCTTCCTTCTATTTTTTATCCTGGGATAGTCCCATTGGCGAATCCAAAGAAAGGTTTAACTCTGCCAGATGAATGCACACATCACAATGCAGTTTCTCAGAAAACTTCTTTCTAGTTTTAATCTGAAGATGTTTCCTTTTTCACCCTAGGCCACAATGCTCTCTGAAATACCCCTTTGCAGATTCTACAAAAACAGTGTTTCCAAATTGCTGAAGGAAAAGGATGATTTAACTCTGTGAAATGAATGAACATATCACAAAGCAGTTTATCAGATATCTTCCTTCTAGTTTTGATCCTGGGATATTCTCTTTTTCACAGTTGGCTTCCAAGTGCCCCCAAATGTACATTCGCTGAGTTGACAAATACTGTGTTTCAAAGCTGCTGTATCCAAAGAAAGGTTTAATTCTGTGAGATGAATACACATATCACAATGCAGTTTCTCAGAAAGCTTCCTTCTAGTTTTTATCTGAAGATGTTTCCTATTTCATCACAGGCCTCAATGCTCTCTGAAGTATCCCTTGGCAGATTCTATGAAAACAGTATTTCCAAACTGCTGAATTTAAAAATAGTTTTAACTCTCTGAGACAAATGCACACATCACAAAGCAGTTTCTCAGATAGCTTCCTTCTAGTTTTTTTCCTGGTATATTCAATCTTTTACCATTGGTCTCAATGAGCTCCCAAATGTTCATTCATAGATGGAAAATAAACAGTGTTTCCAAACTAGTGAATCCAAAGAAAGGTTTAATTCTGTCACATGAATGCACACATCCAAAAGCAGTTTCTTAGAAAGCTTCTTTCTAGTTTTTATCTGAAGATATTTCCTTTTTCATAGTAGGACTTAATGGCTCCAATATATCCATTTGC
The DNA here is from genome assembly GCF_000001405.40 of Homo sapiens. Lineage (NCBI taxonomy): Eukaryota > Metazoa > Chordata > Mammalia > Primates > Hominidae > Homo > Homo sapiens. Next base: position 41,785,559 of record NC_000010.11, on the reverse strand, counting down.
AGATTCTACAAAAACAGTGTTTCCAAACTGCTGAATCCAAAGAAAGGCTTAACTCTGTGAGATGAATGCACACATCACAAAGCAGTTTCTCAGAAAGCTTCTTTCTAGTTTTTATCTGAAACTGTTTTCTTTTTCACCATAGGCCTCAATACTCTCTGAAATATCCCTTTGCAGATACTACAAAAACAGGATTTCTAAACTGTTGAATGAAAAAAACGTTTAACCCTGGGAGATGAATAAAAACATCACAAAGCATTTTTTCAAATAACTTTCTACTAGTTTTTGTCCTGGGATATTCCCTTATTCACCATTGGCCCCAATGAGCTCCCAGATGTCCATTCACAGAATGCAAAAATAACATTGTTTCTAAACTACTGAATCCAAAGAAAGGTTTAACTCTGTGACACGAATGAACACATCACAAGGCAGTGTCTCCAAAAGCTTATTTCTATTATTTATCTGAAGATGTTTCCTTTTTGATCACAGCCCTCAATGCTGTCAGAAATATCCCTTTGCAGATTGTACAAAAACAGTGTCAGTGTTTCCAAACTTCTGAATCCAAAGTAAGTTTTATCTCTGCAAGATGAATGCAGAAATTACATAGCAGTTTCTCAGATAGCTTCCACCAAGTTTTTATCCTGGGATATTCACTTTTTCACCATTAGCATCAATGAGGTCTCAAATGTCCATTCACTAAATACACAAAAACACTCTTTCTAAACTACTGTATCCAAACAAAGTTTTAACTCTGTGAGATGAATGCACACATTACAAAGCAGTTTCTCAGAAAGTTTCTTTCAAGTTTTTATCTGAAGATCTTTCCTTTGTCACCATAGGCCTCAATGCTCTACGAAATATCCCTTTGTGGATTTGATTAAAAAAGTGTTTTCAAACTACTACTGAATCCAAATAAAGGTTTAACTCTGTGAGATGAATGCACACGTCACAAAGCAGTTTCTCAGAAGTTTCTTTCTCTTTTGTATCTGTAGATGTTTCATTTTTCAAGATAGGCCTAAATGCTATCCAACTATTCCTTTGAAGATTTTTTAAAAACAGAGTTTCCAAACTGCTGAATGAAAAGAAAGGTTTATCTCTGTGAGATGAATGCACACATCACATAGAAGTTTCTCAAATAGCTTCCATCTAGTTTTTATCCTGGGATATTCACTTTTTCACCATTAGCCTCAATGAGCTCTCAAATGTCAATTCACTAAGTACACAAAAGCACTCTTTCCAAGCAACTCAATCCAAAGAAAGTTTTAAGTCTGTGAGATGAATTCCCAAATCACAAAGCAGTTTTTCAGAAAGCTTCTTTCTAGTTTTTACCTGAAGATATTTCCTTTTTCTCCATGGGCCTCACTGTTCTCTGAAATATCCCCACGCAGATTCTAAAAAAACAGAGTTTCCAAACTGTTGAATGAAAAAAAGTTTTAATTCTGTGAGATGAATGAACCCATCACAAATAGGTTTCTCAGAAAGCATCTCTATAGTTTTTATCTGAAGATGTTTCCTTTTTACCCAAAGCTTTCAATGCTCTCCAAAATATACCTTTACAGATTCTACCAAAACACTATTTCCAAACTGCTGTATGAAAAGAAAGCTTTAACTTTGTGAGATGAATGCACACATCACAAAGCAGTTTCTCACATAGCTTCATTCTAGTTTTTCTCCCTGGATACACACTTTTTTGCCATTAGCCTCACAGGACTCCCAACTGTCCATTCACAGAATGGACAAAAATACTTTTTCCAAACTACTGAATCCAAAGAAAGGTCTAACTCTGTGACATGAATGTACACATCACAAAGCCGTTTCTCAGATAGCTTCCTTCTAGTTTTTCTCATGTTATGTTTGCTTTTTTGCCATTGGCCTCAATGAGATCCCAAAGGTCCATTCACAGAATGGACAAAAACAGTGTTTCCAAACTTCTAAATCCAAAGAAAGGCTTAACTCTGTGAGATGAATGCACACATCACAGAGCAGTTTCTCACAAAGTTTCTTTCTAATTTTTATCTGAAGATGTTTCCTTTTTAAACTTAGGCGTCAATGCTCTCTGCAATATCCCTTTGCAGATTCTTCAAACACTGTGCTTCCAAACTGCTGAAGGAAAAGAAAGTTTTAACTCTGTGAAAGGAAGGCACTCATCACAAAACGGTTTCTCAAATAGATTCCTTCTGGTTTTTATCCAGGGATATTCGCTTTTTCAACATTGGCCTCAATGAGCTCCCAAAAGTCTATTCGCAGAATGGACAAAAACAGTGTTTAGAAACTGCTGAATCCAAAGAAAAGTTTAAATCTGTGAGATGGATGCACACATCACAAAGCAGTTTCTTAGAAACGTCTTTCTAGTTTTTGACTGAAGATGTTTGTTTCCTTTTTCACCATAGGCCTCAATGCCCTCCAAAATATCCCTTTGCAGATTCTACAAAAACAGTATTTTCCAAACTGCTGAATTAAAGGACAGGTTTAATTCTGCAAGAAGAATGCAAGCATAACAAAGAGGTTTCTCAGAAAGCATCCCTGAAGTTTTTATTTGAAGATATTTCATTTTCTACCATAGGTCTCAGTGCTCTCTGAATTATCCCTTTGCAGATTCTACAAAAACAGTGTTTCCAAACTGCTGAATGAAAAGAAAGTTTTAACTCTGTGAAAGGAATGCTCACAACACAAAGCGTTTTTTTTCAGATAGCTTCCTTGTAGTTTTAATCCTGGGATATTCCCTATTTCACCATTGGTGTCAGTGAACTCCCAAATGTCCATTCACAGAATGGACAAAAACAGTGTTTCCAATCTGCTGAATCCGAAGAAAAGTTTAATTCTGTTAGAACAATGCACACATCTCAATTTCGTTTTTCAGAGAGCTTCCTTCTTGTTTTTATCCTGGGATATTTGCTTTTTCCCCATTGTCCTCAATGAGTTCTCAAATGTCCATTTGCAGAGTGGACAAAAAAAGTGTTTGCACACTGCAGAATCCAAAGAAATGTTTAACTCTGTAAGATGAATGCACACAATACAAAGCAGTTTCTCAGAAACTTTCTTTCTTGTTTTTAGTTAAAGGTGTTTCCTTTTTCACCATCAGCCTCAATGCACTCTCAAATGTCACTTCGCAGATGCTACAAAAACAGTGTTTCCAAACTACTGAGTGAAAAGAAAGGCTTAACACAGCGAGATGAATGCACACATTACAAAGCGGTTTCTCAGATTGCTTCCTTCTAATTCTTATCCTGGGATATTTGCTTTTTCACATTGGTCTCAGTAAGTTCTCTAATATCCATTCACAGAATGGACAAAAACAGTGCTTCCAAATGGCTGAATCCAAAGAAATGTTTTACTCTGTGAGATGAATGCACACATCACAAAGCAGTTTCTCAGAAACCATCTTTCTACTTTGTATCTGAAGATGTTACCTTTTTCACCACAGGGCTCCGTATGCTCCCAAATATCCCTTTGCAGATTCTACAAAAACCATGTTTCCAAACTGCTGAAAGACAAGATAGTTTATCTCTGTGAGATGATTGCAAGCATGACAATATGGCTTCTCAGAGAGCTTCCTTCTATTTTTTATCCTGGGATGTTCATCTTTTTGCTATTGGCCCCAGGGAGCTTCCAAATGTCCTTTTGCAGAATGGACAAAAATAGTTTTTCCAAACTGCTGAATCCAAACAAAGGTGTAACACTGTGACATGAATGCACACATCACAAAGCAGTTTCTCAGAAAGCTTCTTTCTTTCTTTTATGTGAAGATGTTTCCTTTTCACCATAGGCCTCAAATTGCTCTGAAATATGACTTCACAGATTCTACAAAAACAGTGTTTCCAAACTGCAGAATTAAAAGAAAGTTTTAACTCTTCGAGATGAATGTACACAACAAAATGCAGTTTCTCAGAGGGCTGTTTTCTAGTTTTTTTCCTGGGATATTTGCTGTTTTGCCATTGGCCTCAATGAGCTCATGAAAGGCCATTTGCAGAATGGACAAAAACAGTGTTTCCAAACTGCTGAAACCAAAGAATGGTTTAACTCTGTGAGATGCATTCACACATCACAAAGCTGTTTCTCAGAAAGCTACTTTCTAGTTTTTTTCTGAAGATATTTTGTTTTAACAACTGGCCTCAATGCACTCTCAAATATCCCTTCACAGATGCAACAAAAACAGTGTTTCCAAGCTGCTGAATCCAAAGAAAATTTTAACTCTGTGAGATGAATTCACACATCACAAAGCAGTTTCTCAGAAAGCTTCTTTCTAGTATTTATCTGAAGATGTTTCCTTTTGCACCATAGGCCACAATGAAGTCTCAAATATCCCTTTGTTAATTCTAAAAAAACAGTGTTTTCAAATTGCTGAATGAAAAGTAAGGTTTAACTCTGCAAGATGAAAGCACACGTCACATAGTGGCTTCTCAGATAGCTTCCTTTTAGTTTTTGTCCTGGGATGTTTGCTTTTTCGCTATTGGCCTCACTGGGCTCCCAAATGTCCATACACAGAATGGACAAAAAGTGTGTTTCCAAACAGGTGAAATCAAAGAAAGTTTAAGACTCTGAGATGAATGCACACATCAAAAACCAGTTTCTCAGAAAGCTTCTTTCTAGTTTTTATATGAAGATGTTTCCTTTTTCACCATAGGCCTCAATGCGCTCCCAAATATCCCTTTGTATATGCTACAAAAACAGTGTTTCCAAACTGCTCAATGAAAATAAAGGTTTAACTCTGCAGGATGAATGCACACACCACAAATCCATTTCTGTTAGCTTCCTTCTAGTTTTTCCTGGTATATTCGCTTTTTTTGCTATTGGCCTCAATGAGCTATGAAATGTCCATTTGCATTAAAAACAAAAAGAGTGTTTATAAACTGCTGATTCCAAGGAAAGTTTAACTCTGTGAGGTGAATGCACACATCACAAAACAGTTTCTCAGATAGCTTGCTTCTACTTTTTATCCTGGGATATTCCCTTTTTTGCTATTACCCTCAATGTTCTCCCAAATGCCCATTCACAGAATGGACACAAACTATTTCCAAACTGCTGAATCTAAAGAAATTTTAACTCTGTCAGATGAATGTACGTATCATAAAGCAGTTTCTCAGAAAGTTTCTTTCAGATTTTTTTCTGAAGTTGCTTCATTTTTCACCATAGGGCTCCATGCGTTCCGAAATATCTCTTCACAGATTCTACAAAAGTGTGTTTCCAAACTACTGAATGAAATGAAAGGTTTAATTCGGTGAGATGAATGCAAACATCACAATGCAGTTTCTCAGAGAGCTTCCTTCTAGTTTTTATCCTGGGATATTCACTTTTTTGCCATTGGCCTCAAGGAGCTCACAAATGTCCATTCACAGAATGGACAAAAAGAGTTTTTCCAAACTGCTGAACCCAAAGAAATATTGAACACTGTGAGATGAATGCACACATCACAAGGCAGTTTCACAGAAATCTTCTAGTTTTTATCTGAAGATATTTTCTTTTTCACCATGGACCTCAATGTGCTCCTAAATATCCCTTCGCAAATTCAACAAAAACAGTATTTCCAAACTGCTGAATGAAAAGAAAAGTTTAACTCTGTAAGGTGAATGCACTCATCACAAAGCAGTTTCTCAGACAGCTTCCTTGTAGTTTTTATCCTGGGATATTCACTTTTTTGCCATTGGCCTCAGTGAGCTCCGAAATGTCCTTTCACATTAAGAACAAAAACAGTGTTCCCAAACTGCTGAATCAAAAATGGGTTTAACACTGTGAGATGAATGCACACATCACAAAGCATTTTCTCAGAAAGCTTCTTTCTTACTATTATTTGAAGATGTTTCCTTTCTCACCATAGACCTCAAAGTGCTCCCAAGTATCCCTTTGCAGATTCTACAAAAACAGGGCCCCCCAAATTGAAGAATGAAAAGAAAGTTTTAACTCTTCGAGATGAATGCACACATTACAATGTAGTTTCTCAGAGAGCTGTTTTACAGTTTTTATCCTGGGATGTTCTTTTTTTCGCAATTGGTGTCAATGAACTCACAAATGGCCAGTTGCAGAATGGACAAAAAAAGTGTTTCCAAACTGCTGAATCCAAAGAATGTTTTAACTGTGTAAGATGAATTCACACATCACAAAGCAGTTTCTCAGAAATCTTTTTTTCTAGTTTTTATCTGAAGATGTATCATTTTTAATCACAGGCCTAAATGCACTCCCAAATATCCCTTTGCAGATTCAACAAAAATGGTTTTTCCAACCTGCTGCATCCAAAGAAAGTTTTAACTCTGTGAGAAGAATGCCAACAGCACAAAGCAGTTTCTCAGGAAGCTTCTTTCTAGTTTTTATCTGAAGATGTTTCCTTTTTCACCATAGGCCAAAATGCGGTCCCAAATATCCCTTAATAGATTCTAGAAAAACAGTGTTTTCAAACTATTGAATGAAAAGAAATGTTTAATTTTGTGAGATGAATGCACACTTCACAAATCGGTTTGCCAGATAGCTTCCTTCTAGTTTTTGTCCTGGGTCTTAACACTGTGAGATGAGTGCAGACATCAAAAATCAGTTTCTCAGAAAGCTTCTTTCTAGTTTTTATATGAAGGTGTTTTCTTTTTCACCATAGACCCCCATGTGCTCCCAAATATCCCTTCACAGATGCTACAAAAAAGTTTCCAAACTGCTGAATGAAAAGAAAAGTTTAACTCTGCAAGATGAATGCACACATCACAAATCTGTTTCCCAGATAGCTTACTTCTAGTTTTTTTCCTGGGATATTCACTTTTTCAGCATTCACCTCAATGAGCTACCAAATGTCCATTCACGTTAAAAACAAAAAGAGTCTTTCCAAACTGCTAAATTTAAAGTAAGTTTTAACTCTGTGAGATGAATGCACACATCACAAAGTGATTTCTGAGATAGTTTCCTCTGAGTTTTTATCCTGAGAAATTCGATTTTTCGCTGTTGGTCTCAGTGAGTTCCTAAATGTACATTCGCAGAATGGAAAAAACAGAGTTTTCAAACAGCTGAATCCAAATAAAGATTTAAATCTGTGAGATGAATGCAAACATCCCAAAGGAGTTTCTCAGAAAGCTTCTTTCTAATTTCCATTGAAGATGTTTTCTTTTTCACCATAGACCTCAATGTGCTCCCAAGTATCCCTTCACAGATGCTACAAAAAAAGTGTTTGCAAACAGCTGAATGAAAGGAAAGGTTTAACTCTGCAAGATGAATGCACACGTCACAAAGCGGTTTTTCAGATAGCTTCCTTTTAGTGTTTATCCGGGGGTATTCGCTTTTTTGCCATTGGACTCAATAAACTGCCAAATGTCCAATTGCCAAATGGATAAAAAGAGTGTTTCCAATCGGCTGAATGCAAAGAAAGTTTTAGCACTGTGGATGAATGCAAACACAAAAAAACAGTTTCTCAGAAAGGTTCTTTCTAGTTTTTATCTCAAGATGTTTATTTTTTTACCATGAGTCTCAATGGGCTCCCAAATATCCCTTTGCAATTTCTACAAAAACAGTGTTTCCAAACTGCTGAATGAAAAGAAAGCTTTAACTCTGTGAGATGAATGCACACATCAGAAAGCTCTTTCTCAGATAACTTCCTTCTAGTTTTTTTCCTGGGATATTCGCTTTTTCACCATTGGCCTCAATGAACTCCTAAATGTCTGTTGGCAATAAGAACAAAAAGAGAGTTTCCAAACTGCTGAATCCAAATAAAGGTTTAACTCTGTGTGAGACGAATGCACACATCACAAAGCAGTTTCTCCTTCAAGTTATTTTCTAAAGATGTTTCCTTTTACACCAGAGGTCTCAAATCACTCCCAAATATCCCTTTGTAGATTCTACAAAAAGAGGTTTCCAAACTGCTGAATTAAAAGAAAGTTTTCATTCTGTGAGATGAATGCACACATCACATAGCAGTTTCTCAGATAGCTTCCTTCTAATTTTTAACCTGGGATATTCAGTTTTTCTCCATTGGCCTCAATGATCTCCCAAATTTCCATTTGTAGAATGGACAAAAAAAGTGTTTCCAAACTACTGAATCCATAGAAAGTTTTAACTCTGCGAAATGAATGCACCCATCACAATGTCGTTTCTCAGAGTGATTCTTCTAGTTTTTATCCTGGGATATTCGCTTTTTCAAAATTTGTCTCAATGAGCTCCCAACTGTCCATTCACAGAATGGACAAAAACAGTGTTTCCAAGTTGTCAAATCCAAAGAAAAGTTTAACTGTGAGATGAATGCAGTCATCACAAAGCAGTTTCTCAGAAAGCATCTTTCCAGATTTATCTGAAGATGTTTCTTTTTCACAATTGGCCTCAATGTGCTCCCAAAAATCCCTTTGCCGATTCTATGAAAACAGTGTTTCCATACTGCTGAATGAACAAAGAGACTTAAGTCTGCGAGATGAATGTCCACATCACAAAGTGGTTTCTGAGATAGATTCCCTCTAGTTTTTATCCTGGTATATTCACTTTTTCTTCATTGGCCTCAATTAGCTCCCAAATATCCATTCGCAGAATGTACAAAACAGTGTTTCCAAACTGCAAAATCCAAAGACAAGTTTAACTGTAAGATAAATTCATACATCACAAAGCATTTTCTCAGATAGCTTCTTGTTAATTTTTATCTGAATATGTTTCCTTTTTCACTGAATGTCTCAAAGAGCTCCAAAATATCTCTTCTCAGATTCTACAAAAACAGTGTCTGCAAAGTGCCAAATCCAAAGGCAGGTTTAACAGTGAGATGAATTCACACATCAGAAAGCATGTTCTCAGAAATCCTCTTTCTAATTTTTATCTGAGGATGTTTCCCTTTTCCCTGTAGGCCTCAATGAGAACCAAAATATTGCTTCTCAGATTCTACCAAAACAGTGTTTCCAAAATGCTGAAAGAAAAGAAATGTTTAACTCTATGTGGTGAATGCATACATAGCAAAGTGTTCACTCAGAGAGCTTCCTTCTAGTTTCTATCCTGGTATATTCACTTTTTCACATTGGCCTCAGTCAGCTCTTAAATGTGTATTCACGGAATGGACAAAAAGAGTGTATCCAAACTGCAGAATAAAAAAAAAGGTTTAACTGTGAGATGAATACAGATATCACAAAGCACTTTCTTTTTTTTTTTTTTTTGCTTGTTTTTTTTTTTATTATACTTTAAGTTTTAGAGTACATGTGCACATTGTGCAGGTTAGTTACATATGTATACATGTGCCATCCTGGTGCGCTGCACCCACTAACTCGTCATCTAGCATTAGGTGTATCTCCCAATGCTATTCCTCCCCCCTCCTCCCACCCCACGTCAGTCCCCAGAGTGTGATATTCCCCTTCCTGTGTCCATGTGATCTCATTGTTCAATTCCCACCTATGAGTGAGAATATGCGGTGTTTGGTTTTTTGTTCTTGCGATAGTTTACTGAGAATGATGATTTCCAATTTCATCCATGTCCCTACAAAGGACATGAACTCATCATTTTTTATAGCTGCATAGTATTCCATGGTGTATATGTGCCAAATTTTCTTAATCCAGTCTGTCATTGTTGGACATTTGGGTTGGTTCCAAGTCTTTGCTATTGTGAATAATGCCGCAATAAACATACATGTGCACGTGTCTTTATAGCAGCATGATTTATAGTCATTTGGGTATATACCCAGTAATGGGATGGCTGGGTCAAATGGTATTTCTAGTTCTAGATCCCTGAGGAATCGCCACACTGACTTCCACAATGGTTGAACTAGTTTACAGTCCCACCAACAGTGTAAAAGTGTTCCTATTTCTCCACATCCTCTCCAGCACCTGTTGTTTCCTGACTTTTTAATGATTGCCATTCTAACTGGTGTGAGATGGTATCTCATAGTGGTTAGGCATGGGCAAGGACTCCATGTCCAAAACACCAAAAGCAATGGCAACAAAAGACAAAATTGACAAATGGGATCTAATTAAACTCAAGAGCTTCTGCACAGCAAAAGAAACTACCATCAGAGTGAACAGGCAACTTAAAAAATGGGAGAAAATTTTCGCTACCTACTCATCTGACAAAGGGCTAATATCCAGAATCTACAATGAACTCAAACAAATTTACAAGAAAAAACAAACAACCCCATCAAAAAGTGGGCGAAGGACATGAACAGACACTTCTCAAAAGAAGACATTTATGCAGCCAAAAAACACATGAAAAAATGCTCATCATCACTGGCCATCAGAGAAGTGTAAATCAAAACCACAAAGCACTTTCTAAGAAAGCATTTTTCTAGATTTAATCTGAAGATGTTCCCTTTTTGACAATAGCCTCAATGCAATCACAAATATCCCCTTGCAGATTCTACAAAAACAGTGTTTCCAAACTGCTGAATGAAAAGAAAGGTTGACCTCTGTGAGGTGAATGCACATATCACACAGCAGTTTCTCAGATAGCTTCCTTCTAGTTTTTATTGTGGGTTATTCACTTTTTCATAACTGGCCTGAAGGGGTTCTCCAAAGTCCATTCACAGAATGGACAAAGACATTGTTTACAAACTGCTGAATCCAATGTAGGTTTTAACTCTCTGAGATGAGTGCACACAACATAAAGCAGTTTCTCAGAAACCTTCTTTCTAATTTTTAACTGAAGATGTTTTCTTTTGCACCAGAGGCATCAATGCACTCCTAAATACATCTTCTCAGGTTATACAATACAGTGTTTCCTAATTGCTGAATGAAAAGAAAGGTTGAACCCTGCAAGATGAATGCACACATCAGAAAGCAGTTTCTCACATAGCTTCCTTCTATTTTTTATCCTGGACTATTCGCTTGTTCACTGTTGGCCTCAATGAGCTCCCAAATGTCCATTTGCAGAATGGATACAAACACTCCTTCCAAACTACTGAATCCAAAGAACGGTTTAACTCTGTGAGATGAATGCACTCATCACAAAGCAGTTTCTCAGAAAGCTTCTTTCTACTTTTTATCTAAAGATGTTTTCTTTTTTACCACAGGCCTCAATGCTCTCTGAAATATCCCTATGCAGATACTATAAAAACAGTGTTTCCAAACTGCTGTATGAAAAGGAAGATTTAATTATCTGAGATGAATGCACACATCACAAAGTGGTTTCTAAGTTAGCTTTCTTCTAGTTTTTATCCTAGGATATTCTCATTTTCACCTTAGGCCTGAATGAATTCCCAATTTTCCATTGGCAGAATGGACAAAAACACTCTCTACAAACTACTGAATCCAAAGCAAGGTTTAACTCTGTGAGATGAACACACTTATCACAAAGTGGTTTCCTGGAAAACTCCTTTGTACTTGTTATCCAAAAATGTGTCCTTTTTTACCCTAGGTCTCAATGCTTTACGAAATATCCTTTTGCATATTCGACAAAAACAGTGTTTCCAAACTGCTGAATGAAAAGAAAGGTTTAAGTCTGTGAGATGAATGCCCACATAAAAAAACATTTTCTCAGATAGCTTCTGACTAGTTTTTATCCTGGGATATTCCCTTTTTTGCCATTGGCCTCAATGAGTGCACAAATGTCCATTCACAGATTGGACAAAAGCAGTGTTTCCAAACTACTGAATTTGAGGGAAGGTTTAACTCTGTGAGATGAATGCATACATCACAAAGCAGTTTCATAGAAAACTTCCTTCTAGTTTTTATCTGAAGATGTTTCCTGTTTCAACATAGACTTCAAATCTCCCCAAAATATCCCTTTGTAGATTCTATGAAAACAGTTTTTCCAAGCTGCGGAATGAAAAGAAAGGTTTAACTCTGTGAGATGAAAGCACACGTCACAAAGCAGTTTCTCAGAGAGTTTCCTTCTAGTTTTTACCCAGGAATATTCATTTTTTCACCATTGGTCTCAATGAACTCTCAAATATCCATTCGCAGATAGGACAAAAACGCTCTTTCCAAACTACTGAATCCAAAGAAAAATTTAAATCTGTGAGATGAATGCACTCATTACAAATCAGTTTCTCAGAAAGTTTCTTTCTAGTTTTTATCTAAAGATGTTTCCTTTTCCAACATAGGCCTCAATGCTCTCCGAAATATCCCTTTGCAGATTCTAAAAAACAGTGTTTCCAAACTGCTAAATTCATGGAAAAGTTTAACTCTGTGAGATGAATGCACACATCACAAAGCAGTTACTCAGAAATCTTCTTTCTAGTTTTTATCTGAAGATATTTCCTATTTTTCCATAGGCCTCAATGCTCTCCAAAATATCCTTTTGCAGATTCTACAAAAACAGTGTTTCCAAACTGCTGAATGGAAAGAAACGTTTAACTCTGTGAGTTCAATGCAGACATCACATATCACTTTCTCAAATATCTTCCATCTAGTTTTTATCCTGGGATATTCACTTTTTCACCACTGGCCACAATGAGCTCCCAAATACCCATTCACACAGTGGACAAAAATACTCTTTCCAAACTACTGTATCCAAACATAGTTTTAACTCTGTGAGGTGAATGTACACATCACAAAGCAGTTTGTCAGAAAGTGTCTGTCTAGTATTTATCTGAAGATGTTTCCTATTTCTCCATAGGTGTCAATGCTCTATGAAATATCCCTTTGCAGATTTTTCAAAAACAGTGTTTCCAAGCTGCTGAATGAACAGAAAAGCTTAACTCTGTCAGAAGAATGTGCACATCACAAAGTGGTTTCTCAGATAGCTTCCTCCTAGTTTTTATCCTGGGATATTCACTTTTTTGCCATTGGTTTCTGTGAGCTCACAAATGTCCATTCGCAGAATGGACAGAAAGTGTTTCCAAACTACTGAATCCAAAGAATGGTTTAAGTACGTGAGATGAATGCACACATCACAAAGCAGTTACTCAGATTCTTTCTAGTGTTTATCTAAGATATTTCCTTTTCCAACAGAGACCTCAAAACTATCCAAAATGTCCACTTGCAGATACTATAAAAACAGTGTTTCCAAACTGCTGAATGGAAAGAAACATTTACCTCTGTGAGTTCAATGCAGACATCACATAGCAGTTTCTCAGATATCTTCCATCTAGTTTTTATCCTGGGATATTTGCATTTTCACCACTGGCCACAAAGAGCTCCCAAATACCCATTTGCAGAGTGGACAAAAACACTCTTTGCAAGGTACTGAATCCAAAGAAAGGTTTAACTCTGAGAAATGAAAGCACAGAACACAAAGTGGTTTCTCAAAAAGCTTCGTTCTGCTTTTTATCTGAATATGTTTCCTATTTCTCCATAGGCCTCAATTCTCTCCGAAATATCCCTTTGCAGATACTACAAAAACAGTGTTTCCAAACTACTCTATGAAAAGAAAAGTTTAACTCTGTGACATGAATGCACACATCATAAAGCAGTTTCTGAGATAGCTTCCTTCTAGTTTTTTTCCTGCAATATTTTCTTTTTTGCCATTGGCTGCAATGAACTCCCAAATGTCCATTCACAGAGTGGACAAAAATACACTTTCCAAAGTACTGTATACAAAGAAAGATTTAACTCCATGAGATGAATTCACTCATTACACATCAGTTTCTCAGAAGACTTCTTTCTAGTTTTTATCTGAAGAGGCTTCCTTTTTTACCATGGGCCTCAATGCTCAGTGAAATATTCCTTTGCAGATCCTACAAAAACAGTGTTTCCAAACAGCTGAATGAAAAGAAAGGTTTAACTCTGTGAGATGAATGCACACATCACAAAGCGGTTTCTCAGATAGGTTTCTTCGAGTTTTTATCCTGGGATATTCCCTTCTTCGCCATTGGCCTCAATGAGCTCCAAAATATCCATTCTCAGAATGGACAAAAACAGTGTTTCCAAACTGAGGAATCCAAAGAAAGGTTTAACTCTGTGAGATGAATGCACACATCATATAGCAGCTTATAAGGTAGCTTCCTTCTACTTTTTATCCTGGGATATTCACTTATACCCCATTGGCCTTAATGAGCTCCCAAATATCCATTCACAGAATGGACATAAACAGTGTTTCCAAACTGCTGAATCCAAAAAAAGATGTAACCCTGTCAGAAGAAAGCACACATCACAAAGCAGTTTCTCAGAAAGCTTCTTTCTAGTTTTTATCTGAAGTTGTTTCCTTTTTCACTACAAGCCTCAATGATCTTTGAAATATCTCTCTGCAGATTCTAGTAAAAACAGTTTTTCTAAACTGCTGAAATACAAAAGATTGTTTCCAAACTGTTGAATGAAAAGAAAGGTTTGACTTGTGAGGTGAATGCACACATCATAGCAGTTTCTCAGATAGATTCTGTCCACTTTTTTTCCTGGGAGATTCGCATTTGCCCATTGGCCACAATGAACTCCCAAATGTCCATTCACAGAATGGACAAAAACAGCGTTTGCACACTGCTGAATGCAAAGAACGGTTTAATTCTGTGATATGAATGAACACACCACAAAGCCATGTCTGAGAAAGCTTCTTTCCATTTTTAAGCTGAAGGTGGTTCCTATTTCACCGTAGGCCTCAATACTATCAGAAATATCCCTCTGCAGATTTCTCAAAAACAATTTTTTTCAAACTGCTAAAGGAAATGTAAGGTTTAACTCTGTGAGATGCATGCACAAATCACAAGGTAGTTTCTCAGATAGCTTCCTTCAAGTTTTATCCTGGGATATTTCATTTTTTGCCATTGGCCTCAAAGAGCTCTGCAATGTCCATTTGCAGAATGCACAAAAGCAGCATTTCCAAACTACTGAATATAAAGAAAGGTTTAAGTCTCTGAAATGAATGCACACTTCAGAAAGTAGTAACTCAGAAAAGTTTTTTCTAGCTTTTATATGAAGATGTCTTCTTCTTCACCATAGGCCTCAATGCTTTCCTAAATATCCTTTGACGATTATACAAAAGCATTGTTTCCAAACTGCTGAATCCAAAGAAAGGTTTAACTCTGTGAGATGAATGCACACATCACATGGCAGTTTGTCAGATAGTTTCCACCTAGATTTTACCCTGAGATATTCTCTTTTTCACCATTGGCCTTAATGAGCTCCCAATTGTGCATTCACTGAATTGGACAAAAACACTCTTTCCAAACTACTGAATCCACAGAAAGTTTTAACTTTCTGAGTTGAATGCACACATCATAAAGCAGTTTCTCAGAAGCCTTCTTTATAGTTTTTATCTGAAGATGTTGCTTATCTCACCATAGGTCTCAATGCTCTCCAAAATATCCCTTTGCAGATTCTACAAAAGCAGTGTTTCCAAACTGCTGTGTGAAACGGTAAATTTAACTCTGCTAGATGAATGCACACATTACAAAGCAGTTTCTCAGATAGCTTCCTTCTAGTTTTTATAATGGGATATTCATTTTTTCACCACTGGCCTCAAAGAGCTCTGAAATGTCCATTCACAGAATGGACAAAAATGGTGTTCCCAAACTATTAAATCAAAAGAAAATTTTAAGTCTGTGAGATGCATGCACACATCACAAAGCAGTTCCTCAGGAAGCTTCTTTCTAGTTTTTATGTGAAGATGTTTCTCTTTCCAACACAGGCCTCAATGCTCTCCAAAACATTCCTTTGCAGATTTGACAAAAACAGTGTTTGAAATTGCTGAATCCAAAGAAATGTAACTCTGTGAAAGGAATGCAGACATTGCAAAGCAGTTTTTCAGGAAACTTCTTTCTAGTTTTTATCTGAAGATGATTCCTTTTTCACCATAGGCCTCAATGCTCTCTGAAACATCACTTTACAAATTGTAGTGAAAACAGAGTTTCCAAACTGCTGAATGAAATGTAAGGTTTAAATCTACGAGATGAATGCACACATCAATTAGCAGTTTCTCTGATAGCTTCTGTCTTTTTGTTATCCTGGTGTACTCGCTTTTTTGCCATTGGTCTCAAAGAGCCTTCAAATGTCCTTTCTCAGAATGGGCAAAAACAGTGTTTCCAAACTGCTGAATGGAAAGAAAAGTTTAAATTTATGAGATGAATGCACTCAACACAGGGCAGTTTCTCAGATAGCTTCCGTGTACTTTTTAACATGGGATATTCACTTTTCACCATTGGTCTCAGTGAGCTCCCAACTGTCCATTCACAGAATGGACAAAAACTGTGTTTCCAAACTGCTGAGTGCAAAGAAAGTTTTAACTCTTCGAGGTGAATGCACACATCACATAGCAGTTTCTCACATAGCTTCTGTCTAGTATTTATCCTGGGCAATTTGCTTTTTCTTCATTGGACTCAAAGAGCTCCCAAATGTCTATTTGCAGAATGGACAAAAACAGTGTTTCCAAACTGCTGAATCCAAAGATAAGTTTAACTCTGTGAAACGAATGCACACATCACAAAGCAGTTTCTCAGAAAGCTTCTTTCTAATTTTCATCTCAATATGTTTCCTTTTTCACTATAGGCCCCAATGCTCTCTGAAAATATTGCTTTGCAGATTCTACAAAAACAGTATTTCCAAACTGCTGAATGAAAAGAAAGGTTTAAGTCTATGAGATGAATGCATACCTTACTAAGTGGCTTTTCAGATAGCTTTCTTCTAGTTTTTATCCTGGAATATTTGATTTTTTTGCCATTGGCCTCAGTGAGCTCCCAAATGTTCATTCGTACCACGAACAAAAACTGTGTTTCCAAATGGTGAATCCAAAGCAGGCTTTAACTCTCTGAGATGAATGCAGACTTCACAAATCAGTTTCACAGAAAGCTTCTTTCTAGTTTTTATCTGAAGATGTTTCATATTTTACCATAGGCTGTGATGCTCTCCAAAATATCCAATTTCAGATTCTACAAAAACATTGTTTCCAAACTGCTGAATGAATAGACAGGTTTAACTTAGTGAGGTGAATGCACACATCATAAGGCAGTTTTTCAAATAGGTTTCTTCTAGTTTTCTTCCTGGGATATTTTCTTTTTTGCCATTAGCCTACACGAGCTGCCAATGGTCAATTCACAGAATTGACAAAAACAGTGTTTTCAAACAGCTGAATCCAAAGAAAGGTTTAATTCTATGAGATGAATGCAGACATCACAAAGCAGTTTCTCAGAAAGCTTCTTTCTCTGTTTTATCTGAAGTTGTTTCCTTTTTCACCATAAGCTTCAATGCTCTCTGAAATAACCCTTGGAAGATGGTACAAAAACAGTGTTTCCAAAATGATGAATGAAAAGAGTTTTAACTCTGCAAGATGAATGCACACATCATGTAACAGTTTCTCAGATTGCTTCCATCTAGTTTTTATTCAGGGATATTCACTTATTCACCACTGGCTTCTGTGAGCTCCCAAATGTCCATTCCCATAATGGACAAAACACTCTTTCCCAACTACTGAATCCAAGAACAGTTTTAACTTGGTGAGATGAATGCAAATATCACAAAACAGTTTATCAGAACGCTTCTTTCTATTTTTTTATCTGAAGACATTTCCTATTTCACCATAAACCTCAATGCTATCTGAAATATCCCTTTGCAGATTCTACAAAAACAGTGTTTCCAAACTGCTGAATGAAAAGAAAGGTTTAATTCTGTAAGATGAATGCACATATAACTAAGAGGTTTCCCAGGTAGTTTTCTTCTAGTTTTTATCCTTTGATAACCACTTTTTCACCATTGGCCTCAATGAGCTCCCAAATGTCCATTTGCAGACAAGACAAAAGCACTGATTCCTACTGCTGAATCCAGAGAAACATTTAATTCTGTGAGATGAATGCAGACATCACAAAGCAGTTTCTCAGAAAGCTTCTTTCTCGTTTTTATCTGAAGATGTTTCCTTTTTCAGCATAGGCCTAAAAGCTCTCCAAAATATCCCTTTGAAGTTTATACAAAAATAGTGTTTCCAAACTCCTGAATGAAAAGAAAATGTTAACTCTGGGAGATGAATGCACAAATCACGTAGCAGTTTTTCAGATAGCTTCCATCTAGTTTTCATTCTGGGATATTTGCTTTTTTGCCATTGGCCTCAATGAGCTCCAAAATGTCCACTCGCAGAATGGACAAAAACACTGTTTCCAAACTACTGAATCTAAAGAAAGGTTTAACTCAGTGAGATGAATACACACATCACAAAGCAGTTTCTCAGAAAGCTTCTTTCTTGTTTTTTCTGAAGATGTTTCCTAATTCACCACAGACCTCAATGTTATCCAAAATATCCCTTTGCAGATTCTACAAAATCAGTGTTTCCAAACTGCTGAATGAACAGAAAGTTTTAATTCTGTGAGATGAATAACCACATAACAATGCAGTTTCTCACATAGCTTCCTTCCAGTTGTTTTCCTTTGATATTCACTTTTTCACCATTGGCCTCAATGAGTTCCCAAATGTCTATTCGCAGAATGGGCAAAAACAGTGTTTTCAAACTGCTGAATCCAAAGAAAGCTTTAACTCTGTAAGATGAATGCACACATCACAAAGAAGGTTCCCTGAAAGCTTTTTTCTAGTTTTTATTTGAAGATATTTCCTTTGTGAAAGTTGATCTCAATGCTCTCCAAAATATCCCTTTACAGTTTCTACTAAAACAATATTTCAAAATTGCTGAATGAGAAGAAACATTCACCTATGCAGGATGAATGCACACATCACATCACAGTTTCTCATAAAAGTTTTTCCTAGTTTTTATCCTGTGATATTTGCTTTTTCATCATTGGCCTCAAGGAACTACCAAAAGTCCATTCACAGAATGGACAAAAACAGTGTTTCAAAAATGATGAATTAAAGAAATGTTGAACCCTGTGAGATGAATGCCCACATCACATAACAGTTTCTCAGGTAGCTTCCATCTAGTTTTGATCCTGGGATATTCTCTTTTTCACTATTGGCCTCAATGAGCTCCCAAACGTCCACTCACAGAATGGACAAAAACACTCTTTCCAAACTACTGAATCCAAAGAAAGGTTTAACTCTGTGTGATGAATGCACACAACACAAAGTAGTTTCTCAGAAAGCTTCTTTCTACTTTTTATCTGAAAATGTTTCCTTTTTCACCATAGGCCTCAATGCTCTCCAAAATATGCCTTTGTAGATCCTACAAAAACAATGTTTCCAAACTGTCAAATGAAAAAAAGGTTTAGAACTCCTAGATGAATGCAGACAACACATAACAATTTCTCGGATAGCTTCCATCTAATTTTTATGCTGGGATATTTGCTTTTTCACCATTGGCCTCAATAGCTCCAAAATGTCCATTCATGGAATGCAAAAAAGTAGTGTTTCCAAACTGCTGAATCCAAATAAAGTTTTAAGACTGTGAGACGAATGAACATGTCACAAAGCAGTTTCTCAGAAAGCTTCTTTCTAGTTTTTATCTGTAGAATTTTAATTTTTCACCACAGGCCTCAATGCTCTCTGAAATATCCGTTTGTAGATTCTACAAAACCAGTATTTCCAAACTTCTGAATCATAAGAAAGTTTTAAATCTGTGAGATGAATGCACACATCTCTGAAGGTGTTTTCTTTTTCACCTTAAGCCTCAATGCTCCCTGAAATATCCCTTCACACATTCTACAAAAACAAGGTTTCCAAACAGGTGAATTAAAACAAAGGTTTAACTCTGTGAGATGAACATGTACATCACAAAGCTGTTACTCAGATACCTTTCTTCTAGAATTTATCTTGGGATATTCGCTTTTTTGCCATTAACCTCAAGGAGCTCTCAAATGTTTATTCGCAAAATGGAAAAAAACAGTATTTCCAAACTGCTGAATCAGAAGAAAGGTTTAACAGTGTGAGATGAATGCACACATCACAAAGCAGTTTCTCAGAAAGATTTTATCTAGTTTTTATCTGAAAATGTTTCATTTTTCACAATAAGCCTCAATGCTCTCTGCAACATCCCTTTGCAGATTCTACAAAACGAGTGTTTCCAAACTGCTGAATGAAAAGAAAGTTTTAAATATGTGTGATGAATGCAACATCACAAAGCAGTTTCTCAGATAGCTTCCTCCTAGTTTTCATCCTGTGTTATTTCCTTTTTCACCATTGGCCTCAATGAGCTCCCCAGTGTCCATTCACAGAATGGACAAAAATAGGGTTACCAAACTGCTGAATCCAAAGATATCTTTAACTCTTTGAGGTGAATGCACATATCACAAAGCAGCTTCTCAGAAAGCTTCTTTGTATTTTTATTGGAAGATGTTTGCTTGTTAACCATCAGCCTCAATGCTCTCTGAAATATCCCTTTGCAGATTCCACAAAAACACTGTTTCCAAACTGCTATATGAAAAGAAAGCTTTAACTCCATGAGATGAATGCACACATCACAAAGCAGTTCCTCAGAAAGCTTTCTTCTAGTTTTTATGCTGGCATATTCGCTTTTTCACCATTGTCCTCAATGAGCTCCCAAATGTCCATTCGCATAATGGAAGAAAACCGTGTTTCCAAACTGCTGAATCAAAAGAACGTTTTAACTCTGTGAGATGAATGCACAAATAAAAACCATTTTCTCAGAAAGCTTTTTTCTCATTTTAATCTGAAGATGTTTCCTATTTCACCATAGGCCTCAATGCTCTCCAAAATATTCCTTTGCAGATTCTACAAAAACAGTAATTCCAAACTGCTGAATGAAAAGAAACGTTTAACTCTGTGAGATGAACGTACACATTGCAAATCTGTTTCTCAGATAGCTTCCTTCCAGATTTTATCCAAGGATATTCAGGCCTCAATGTGCTCCCAAATGTCCATTCACAGAATGGATAAAAAACATTGTTTCCAAACTGCTTAATCAAAGAAAGGTTATACTCTGTGAGATGAATGCACAGATCACAAAGCAGTTTCTCAGAAAATGTCTTTCTGGTTTTTATATGAAGATGTTTCCTTTTCCACCGTAGGCCACAATGCTCTCCAAAATATCCTTTTAAAGATTTGAAAATAAACAGTGTTTCCAAAATGATGAATGAAAAGAAATGTTTAACTCTGTGAGATGAATGCACACCTCACAGAGCAGTTTCTTAGATAACTTCCATCTACATTTCATCTAGGGATATTCCCTTTTTTGACATTGACCTCAATGAGCTCCCAAATGTCCATTTGCAGAATGGACAAGAGCAGTGCTCCCAAACTGCTGAACCTGAAGAATGGTTGATCTCTGTGAGATGAATGCACACATCACAATGTAGTTTCTCAGAAAAGTTCTTTCTAGTTTTTATCTGAAGATGTTTCCCTTTCCACCATAGGCCTCAATGCTCTCTGACATATCCCTTGCAGATTCTACAAAAAAATTTTCCAAACTGCTGAAAGAAAACAAAGGTTTAACTCAGTGAGGTGAATGCACACATCAAAAAGTGTTCTCTCAGATAGCTTCCTTCTAATTTTTATCCTGGGATATTCTCTTTTTCACCTTTGGGCTCAATGATTTCCCAAATGTCCATTCACTGAGTGGACAAAACAGTGTTTCCAAACTGGTGAATCCAAAGAAAGTTTTAACTCTGTGAGATAGAATGCACACATCACAAAGCAGTTTCTCAGAAAGCTTCTTTTTAGTTTTTATCTGAAGATGTTTCCTTTTTCCCCACATGCCTCAAAGCTCTCTAACATATCCCTTTTCAAATTCTACAAAAACAGTGTTTCCAAATTGCAGAGTGACAGGGAAGGTTTAACTCTGTAAGATGAATGCATAGATCACAAAGCAGTTTCTCAGATAGCTTCCTTATAATTTTTATCCTGAGATATTCTCTTTTTCCCCTTTGGCCTCAATGAGTTCCCAAATGTTCACTCGCTGAATGGACAAAAACTGTGTTTCCAAACTACTGAATCCAAAGAGAAATTTAAGTCTATGAGATGAATGCACACATCAGAAAGCAGTTACTCAGAAAGCTTCTCTGTAGTTTTTATCTGAAGGTGTTTCCTTTTCCACCATAGGCCTCATTGCTCTCCGAAAGATCCCATTGCAGAATCTACAAAAACAGTGTGTCCAAACTGCCGAATCCACAGAATGTTTTAACTCTCTGAGATGAATGCACGCATCACAAAGCAGTTTCTCAGTAAGTTTCTTTCCAGTTTTTATCTTAAGATATTTCCTTTTTCACCATAAGTCGCAATGCTCTCTGAAATAATGCTTTGCAGATTCTACAAAAAAAGAGTTTCCAAACTGCTGAATGAAAAGAAAGGTTTAACTCTGCTAGATGAATGCAAACATCACATAGCAGTTTCTCAAATAGCTTGCATCTAGTTTTTATCCTGTGATATTTGCATTTTCATCATCGGCCTCACTAAGCTCCCAAATGTCCATGTGCAGAATGGACAAAAGCACTCTCTCCAAACTACTGAATCCAATGAAAGGTTTAATTCTGTGATATGAATGCACACTTCACAAAGCCGTTTGTCAGAAAGATTCTTTGTAGTTTTTATCTGAAGATGTTTTCTTTTTCACCCTAGGCTTCAATGCTATCCAAAATATTCCTTCACAGAATGGACAAAAACAGTGTTTCCAAAATGCAGAATCTAAAGGAAGGTTTAAATATGTGAGATGAGTGCACACATCACAAAGCAGTTTCTCAGAAATATTTGTTCTAATTTTTATCTGAAGATTTTTCCCTTTTCACCATAGGCCTCAATACTCTCCAAAATAACCCTTCGCAGGTTTTACAAAACAGTGTTTCCAAACTGCTGAATGAAAGGAAAAGTTTATCTCTGTGGATGAATGCAAACATCACATAGCAGTTTCTCAGATAGCTTCCATTTAGATTTTATCCTGGGATAATCTCTTGTTCCCCATTGGCCTCAATGAACTCCCAAATGTCCATTCTCAGAATGGACAGAAACACTCTATCCAAACTACTGAATCCAACGAAAGGTCTAATTCTCTGAGATGAGTGCACGCATCACAAGGTGGTTTCTCAGAAATCTTCCTTCAAGTTTTCATCCTGGGATATTCACTTTTTTGCCTTTGGTCTCAATGAGCTCCAAAATATCCATTTGCAGAATGGACAAAAACAGTTTGTCCAAACTGCTGAATTGACAGAAAGGTTTAACTCTCTGAGATGAATGCACACATCACAAAGTAGTTTCTCAGAAAGCTTCTTTCTGGTTTTCATCTGAGGATGGGTCCTATTTCACCATAGGCCTCATTGCTCTCCAAAATATCCCTTTGCAGATTCTACCAAAACACTGTTCACTATCTGTTGAATGAAAAGAAA
The DNA here is from genome assembly GCF_000001405.40 of Homo sapiens. NCBI lineage: Eukaryota > Metazoa > Chordata > Mammalia > Primates > Hominidae > Homo > Homo sapiens. The sequence goes on along the minus strand of NC_000010.11, from coordinate 41,762,560 downwards.
GGTTTAACTCCATTAGATGAATGCACACGTCACAAAGCAATTTCTCAGAAAGCTCCTTTCTAGTTTTTATCTGAAGATGTTTCCTTTTTCACCATAGGCTTCAGTTCTCTCCACATATCCCTTTACAAATTCTACAAAAACAGTGTTTAAAAACTGGTGAAAGAAAAGAAAGGTTTAAGTATGTGAGATGAATGCACACATCAAATAACAGATTCTCAGGCAGCTTCTATCTAGCTTTTATCCTAGGATATTCACTTTTTTGCCATTTACCACGATTAACTCCCAAATGTCCATTCACAGAATGGACAAAAACACTCTTTCCAAACCACTGAATCCAAAGAAACGTTTAAATCTGTGAGATGAATGCACACATCACAAAGCAGTTTCTCAGAAAGCTTCTTTCTAGTTTTTATCTGAAGATGTTTCCTTTTATACTGAAGGCCTCAATGCACTCTGGAATATCCAATTGCATTTTCTACAAAACAGTGCTTTCAAACTGCTGAATGAATGTGAAGTTTTAATTCTGTCAGAAGAATGCACACATCACAAAGTTGTTTGTCAGATTGCTTTTTTCTAGTTTTTATCTTAGTATATTCGATTTTTTGACGTTGGCCTCAATGAGCTCCAAAATGTCCATTCACAGAATGGACAAAAACAGTGTTTCCAAACTACTGAATCCAAAAAAGCTTTATCTCTGCGAGATGAATGCACACATCATAAAGCAATGTTCTTAGATAGCTTCCTTCTAATTTTTATCCTGGAATATGTGCTTTTTTGCCATTCACCTCAATGAACTCACAAACATCCATTCGCAGAATTGACAAAAACACTCTTTACCAACTACTGAATCCAAAGAAAGGTTCATCTCTGTGAGATGAAAGCACACATCACCAAGCATTTTCTCAGAATGCTTCTTTCTAGTTTTTATCTGAAAATGTTTCTTTTTTTACATAGGTCTCACTGCTCTCCGAAATATCCCTTTGCAGATACTACAAAAAAAGTGTTTCCAAACTGCTGAGGGAAAAGGAAGTTTTAATTCTGTGAGGTGAATGCACACATCCCATAGCAGTTTCTCATATAGATTCATTCTAGGTTTTATCCAGGGATATTCACTTTTCCCCATTGGCTGCAATGAGCTCCCAAATGACCATCCCCAGAATGGACAAAAACAGTGTTTCCCAACTGCTGAGTCCATTGAAAAGTTTCATTTTGTGAGAACAATGCACATATCTCAAAGCAGTTTCTCAGAGAGCTTCTTTCTAGTTTTTATCGGAAGATGTTTCCCTTTTCAGCAAAGCCCCAATGTAGTCCCAAATATCCATTTGCAGATCCTACAAAAACACTGTTTCCAAACTGTTGAATGAAAAGAACGTTTTAACTCTGCAAGGTGAATGCACTCAAACTAAACTGGTTTCTCAGATATATTCCATGTAGTTTTAATCCTGGGATGTTCACTTTTTTGCCATGGCCTCTATGAGCTCCCAAATTTCCATTCACAGAATGGACAAAAACAGTGTTTACAATCTACTGAATCCAAAGAAAAGTTTAATTCTGTGAGATGAATGCACACATCACAAAGCAATTTCTCAGAAAGCTTCTTTCTATTTTTTATCTGAAGATGTTTCTTTTTTCACCATAGGCCTCAATGCACTCCTAAATATCCCTTCACAGATTCTACAAAAACAGTGTTTCCAAACTGCTGAATGAATAGAAAAGTTTAAGTTTTCGAAGTGAATACACACATCACAAAGTGATTTCCAGATAGCTTCCTTGTAGTTTTTTTCCTGGGATATTCCCTTTTTTGCCATTGGTCTCAATGAGTTCCCAAATTCCCATTTGCAGAATACATAAAAACAGTGTTTCCAAACTGCAGAATCCAAAGAAATGTTTAACTGTGAGATGTTTGCACACATCACAGAGCAGTTTCTCAGAAAGCTTCTTTCTTGTTTTTATCTGAAAATATTTCTTCACCATAGGCCACATTGCACTTGCAAGTATGCCTTCTCAGATTCTACAAAAACAGTGATTCTAAACTGCTTAATGAAAAGAAATTTTCAAGTCTGCAAGTTGAATCCACACATCACAAAGTGGTTTCTCAGATAGCTTCCTTTTAGCTTTTATCCTGGGGTATTCACTCTTTCACCATTGGAGTGAATGAACTCCCAGAAGTCCATTTGCAGAATGGACATAAAAAAGTGTTTCCAAACTGCTGAATCCACAGAAAGGTTTAAATCTGTGAGATGAATGCACACATCAAAAAGCAGTTACTCAGGAAGCTTCTTTATAGTTTTTATCTGAAAATGTTTCCTTTGTCACCATATGCCTCAAAGTGCTCCGAATTATCCCTTTGTAGATTCTACAAAAACAAGTTTTCCAAACTTCCAAATGAAGAGAAAGGTTTAACTCTGCCAGAATAATGCACAAATCACAAAGCAGTTTCTCAGATGGCTTCCTTCCACTTTTTATCCTTGGATATTCGTTTTTTCAAACTTGGCCTCACTGAGCTTCCAAATGTCCACTTGCAAAATGGACAAAAAAAGTGTTTCCAACCCGCAGAATCCAAAGACAGGGTTTACTGTGAGATGAATGCACATATCACAAAGCAGTTTGCCAGAAAGCTTCTTTCTAGTTTTTGTGTGAAGATGTTTCCTTTTTCACCATAGTTCTCAATGGGCTCCTAAATACCCTTTCACAGTTTCTACAAAAACAGTGTTTCCAAATTGCTGAATGAAAAGAAGGGTTTAACTCTGCGAGATGAATGCACACATCACAAAGTGGTTCCTGAGATGTCTTTGTTCTAGGTTTTTCACTGGGATACTCACTTTTTTGCCATTGGCTTCAATGAGCACTGAAATGTCCATTTGCAGGATGGACAAAAACACTCTTTCCAAACTATTGAATCCAAAGAAAAGTTTAACTCTGTGAGTTGAATGCACACATCACAAGGCGGTTTCTCAGAAGGCTTCTTTCTAGTTTTTTTCTGAAGATGTTTCCTTTTTCACCATAGGCCTCAATGCTCTCTGAAGTATCCCTTTGCAGATTCTACAAAAACAGTGTTTCCAAACTGCTTACTGAAAAGAAAGGTTTAACTCTGTGAGATGAATTCAGACATCACAAAGTGATTTTCCAGATAGCCTCCTTCTATTTTTTATTTTGGGATATTTGCTATTTCACCATTGGCCTCAATGTGTTCAAAATGTCCACTTGCAGAATGGAAAAAAACATTGTTTCCATAGTGGTGAATCCAAATAAAAGTTTAACTCTGAGAGATGAATGCATGCATCACATAGTGGTTTCTCAGAAAGCTTCTTTCTAGTTTTTATCGGATGATGTTTCTTTTTTCAGCATACGCCTCAATGTTCTCTGGAACATCCCTTTGCAGATTCTACCAAAACGGTGTTTCCAATCTGCTGAATGAAAAGAATGTTTTATATCTGCGAGATGAATGCACTCATCACATAGCAGTTTCTCAGAGTGTTTCCTTCTAGTTTTTATCCTGGGATATTCACTTTTTCACCATTGGCCTCCACGACCTCCAAATATCCAATCACAGAATGGACAAAAAGGGTGTTTCCAAACTGTAGAACCCTTAGAAAGGGTTAATTCTTGGAGATGAATACACACATCACAAAGCAGTTTCTCAGAAATATTCTTTCTTGTTTTTATCTGAAGATTTTTCTTTTTTCAACATAGGCATCAATGTGCTCCAAAATATCACTTCTTAGACTCTACAAAACCAGTGTTCAAAACTGTTGAATGAAAAGAAAGGCTTAAGTCTGTGAGATGAATGCACACATCATAAAGAGGTCCCTCGGATAGCTTCCTTCTAGTTTTTATCCTGGGATATTTGCTTTTTCGCCACTGTTCTCAATGAGATCCCAAATGTCCATTCTCAGAACGGACAAACACAGTGTTTCCAAACAGCTGATTAAAAAGCAAAGTTTAACACTGAGAAATGAATGTACACATCACAGAATGGTTTCTCAGATATCTTCCTTCTAGTTTTCATCTTGCCATATTACCTTTTTCACCATTGGCCCCAAAGTTCTCCCAAATGTCCATGTGCAGAATGGACAAAAACTGTGTTTCCAAAGGGCAGAATGCAAAAAATGCTTTAAGTTTGTGAGATGAATGCATATATCACAAAGCTGTTTCTAAGGGAGTTTCTTTCTAGTTTTTATCTGAAGATATTTCCTTTTTCACCATAGTCCTCAATGCACTCTCAAATATCCCTTTGCAGATTCTACAGAAAGAGTGTTTCTAATCTGCTGAATGAAAAGAAAGTTTTAACTCTGCGTGATGAATGCACACATCACAAAGCTTTTTCTCAGATAGCTTCCTTCTAGTTTTTATGCTGGGATATTCACTTTTTCACCATTGTTCTCAATGAGCTCCCAAATATCCATTCACAGAATGGACAAAAACGGTGTTTCCAAATGGCTGAATCCAAAGAAAAGTTTAACTCGGCGTGATGAATGCACACATCACAATGTAGTTTCTCAGAGAGATTCCTTCTAATTTTTATCCTTGGATATTCACTTTTCTGCAACACCGTCAATGAGCTCCCAAATGTCCCTTCACACAATGGACACAAACAGGGTTTCTAAACTGCCGAATGCAAAAAATGTTTAACTCTGTGAGATGAATGAACACATCACAAAGCAGATTTAAGAAAACTTCTTTCTAGTTTTTATCTGAAGATGTTTCCTTTCTCAACTTAGGCATCCCCGTTCGCAGATACTTCTAAAACTGTGTTTCCAAACTGCTGAAGGAAAAGAAAGATTTAACTGTGTGTGATAAATGCACACATCATGTAGCGGTTTCTCAGATAGCTTCCTTGTAGTTTTTATCCTGGGATATTCGCTCTTTCACCATTGGCCTCAACGAGCTCTCAAGTGTTCAATCACAGAATTTACAAAAACTGTATTTCCAAATTGCAGATTCCAATGAGAAGTTTAAACTCTGTGAGATGAATGTACATATCACAAAGCAGTCTCCCAGAATGCTAGTTCATAGTTTTTATTGAAGATATTTCCTTTTTCACCGTAGCCTTCAATGCACTTCAAAATATCCATTTGCAGATTTTACAAAAACAGTTCCCAAACTGCTGAATGAAAACAAAGGTTTAACTCTGTGAGATGAATGCACACATCACAGAGACTTTTATCATATTGCTTCCTTCTAGTTTGTATCCTGCGATATTTGGTTTTTTGCCATTGGCCTCAATGAACTCCCAAATGTGCATTCGCAATTTGGACAGAAACAGAGTTTTCAAACTGCTGAGTCGAAAGAAAGGCTTACCTCTGTTAGATGAATGCAAACGTCACAAAGCAGTTTCTCAGAAAGCTTCTTTCTAGTTTTTATCTGAATATGTTTTCTTTTTCACCATAGACCTCACAGCACAACAAAATATCCCTTGGCAGATTGTACAAAAGAGTGTTTCCAAACTGCTGAATGAAAATCAATTATCATTTCTGCTAGTTGAATGCACACGTTACAAAGCAGTTTCTCAGACAGCTTCCTTCTAGTTTTATCCTTGGATATTTGCTTTCTCACCATTGGATTCAATGAGCTCACAGACGTCCATTCCTAGAGTAGAAAAAAACAAGCTTTCCAAAGGCTAAATCCAAGCAAATGTTTAACTCAGTGAGATGAATGCACACATCACAAAGCAGTTTCTCAGAAGCCTTCTTTCCAGTTTTTATCTGAAGATATTTCCTTTCTTACCATAGGCCTCAATGCACTCCCAAATATCCCTTTGCAGATTCCCCAAAAACAGTGTTTCCAAACAGTTCAGTGAAATGTAATGTTTATATTTGCTGGATGTATCCACACATCACAAAGCAGCTTCCCAGATAGGTTGATCATAGGACTCAATGTGCTCCTAAATATCCCTTCACAGATTCTACAAAAACAGTGTTTCCAAACTGCTGAATTAAAAGAAAGAATTAACTATGCGAAATGAATGCACACATCACAAAGCAGTTTCTCCAATAGCTTCCTTCTGGTTTTTATTCTTTGTTATTTGATTTTTCACAATGGCCCTCATGAGCTCCCAAATCTGTATCCTAGAATGGACAAGAAGACTATTCTCAAACTGCAGAGTAAAAGAAAGATTCAACACTGTGAGATGAATGCACACATCACAAAGCATATTCTCAGAAACCTTCTTTCTATTTTTTATCTGAAGATGTTTCCTTATTCACCATAAGCCTCAATACACTCCCAAATATTCTTTCACAGATTCTACAAAAACAGTGTTTCCAAACTGCTGAATGAAAAGAAAGGCTTAACTCTGTGAGGTGAATGCACACTTAACAAAGTGGTTTCTCAGACGGCTTCCTTCTAATTTTTATCCTGGGATATTCACATTTTCACAATTGGCTTCAAAGAGCTCCCAAATATGTATTAGCAGAATGAACAAAAACAGGTGTTTCCAAACTCCTGAACCAAAAGCAATCTTTAACTCTGTGAGATGAATGCACACAGCACAAAGCAGTTTCTCAGGAAGCTTCTTTCTAATTTTTACCTGAAAATGTTTCCTTTTTCACCGTAGGCCTCAAAGCACTCCCAAATATCACTTTGCAGATTCTACAAAACCAGAGTTTCCAAACAGCTGAATGAAAAGAAAGTTTTAACTCTGTGAGATAAATACCCACATCACAAAGCATTTTCTCAGATACCTTCCTTCTATTTTTTATCGTGGGGTAGTCACTTTTTCATCATTGGCCTCAATGAGCTCTGAAATGTCCATTCGCAGAATGGACAAAATTGTGTTTCCATATTTTTGAATCTAAAGAAAGGTTTAAATCTGTGAGATGAATGCACACATCACAAAGCAGTTTCTCAGAAAGCCTTCTGGATTTTATCTGAAGAAATTCCCATTTTAAAAAGAGGCCTCAATGCACTCCAAAATATCACTTCACAGATACTATAAAAACAGTGTTTCCAAACTACTGAATGAAAAGTAAAGTTTAACTCTGCGAGATGAATGCACAAATCACAAAGTGATATCTCAGATAGCTTCCTTCTAGTTTTATCCTGGGATATTCACCTTTTCACCATTGGCCTCAATGAACTCCCAAATGTCCATTAGCAGAATGGACAAAAACAGTTTTTCCACACTGCTAAATCCAAACAAAGTTTTACCTCTGTGAGATAAATGCACACATCACAAAGCAGTTTCTCAGAAAGCTTCTATTTAATTTTTTTTATTATACTTTAAGTTTTAGGGTACATGTGCACAATGTGCAAGGTTAGTTACATATGTATACATGTCCCATGCTGGTGCACTGCACCCACTAACTTGTCATATCATATTAGGTATATCTCCCAATGCCATCCCTCCCCCCCTCCCCCCATGCCACAACAGTCCCCAGAGTGTGATGTTCCCCTTCCTGTGTCCATGTGTTCTCATTGTTCAATTCCCACCTATGAGTGAGAATATGCAGTGTTTGGTTTTTTGTTCTTGTGATAGTTTACTGAGAATGATGATTTCCAATTTCATCCATGTCCTTAAAAGGACATGAACTCATCCTTTTTTATGGCTGCATAGTATTCCATGGTGTATATGTGCCACATTTTCTTAATCCAGTCTATCATTGTTGGACATTTGGGTTAGTTCCAATTCTTTGCTATTGTGAATAATGCCACAATAAACATACGTGTGCATGTGTCTTTATAGCAGCATGATTTATATTCATTTGGGTATATACCCACAAATGGGATGGCTGGGTCAAATGGTATTTCTAGTTCTAGATCCCTGAGGAATCGCCACACTGACTTCCACAGTGGGTGAACTAGTTTACAGTTCCACCAACAGTGTAAAAGTGTTCCTATTTCTCCACATCCTCTCCAGCACCTGCTGTTTCCTGACTTTTTAATGATTGCCATTCTAACTGGTGTGAGATGGTATCTCATTGTGGTTTTGATTTGCATTTCTCTGATGGCCAGTGATGGTGAGCATTTTTTCATGTGTTTTTTAACTGCATAAATGTCTTCTTTTGAGAAGTGTCTGTTCATGTCCTTCACCCACTTTTTGATGGGGTTGTTTGTTTTTTTCCTGTAAATGTGTTTGAGTTCATTGTAGATTCTGGATATTAGCCCTTTGTCAGATGAGTAGGTAGCGAAAATTTTCTCCCATTTTTTAGGTTGCCTGTTCACTCTGATGGTAGTTTCTTTTGCTGTGCAGAAGCTCTTGAGTTTAATTAGATCCCATTTGTCAATTTTGGTTTTTGTTGCCATTGCTTTTGGTGTTTTAGACATGAAGTCCTTGCCCATGCCTATGTCCTGAATGGTAATGCCTAGGTTTCCTTCTATGGTTTTTATGGTTTTAGGTCTAACGTTTAAGTCTTTAATCCATCTTGAATTGATTTTTGTATAAGGTGTAAGAAAGGGATCCAGTTTCAGCTTTCTAAATATGGCTAGCCAGTTTTCCCAGCACCATTTATTAAATAAGGAATCCTTTCCCCATTGCTTGTTTTTCTCAGGTTTGTCAAAGATCAGATAGTTGTAGATATGTGGCAATATTTCTGAGGGCTCTGTTCTGTTCCATTGATCTATATCTCTGTTTTGGTACCAGTACCATGCTGTTTTCGTTACTGTAGCCTTGTAGTATAGTTTGAAGTCAGGTAGTGTGATGCCTCCAGCTTTGTTCTTTTGGATTAGGATTGACTTGGAGATGCATGCTCTTTTTTGGTTCCATATGAACTTTAAAGTAGTTTTTTCCAATTCTATGAAGAAAGTCATTGGTAGCTTGATGGGGATGGCATTGAATCTGTAAATTACCTTGGGCAGTATGGCCATTTTCACGATATTGATTCTTCCTACCCAGGAGCATAGAATATTCTTCCATTTGTTTGTATCCTCTTTTATTTCATTGAGCAATGGTTTGTTGTTCTCCTTGAAGAGGTCATTCACATCCCTTGTAAGTTGTATTCCTAGGTATTTTATTCTCTTTGAAGCAATTATGAATGGGAGTTCACTCATGATTTGGCTCTCTGTTTGTCTGTTGTTGGTGTATAAGAATGCTTGTGATTTTTGTACATTGATTTTGTATCCTGAGACTTTGCTGAAGTTGCTTATCAGCTTAAGGAGATTTTGGGCTGAGACAATGGGGTTTTCTAGTTATACAATCATGTCGTCTGCAAACAGGGACAATTTGACTTCCTCTTTTCCTATTCAAATACCCTTTATTTCCTTCTCCTGCCTAATTGCCCCGGCCAGAACTTCCAACACTATGTTGAATAGGAGTGGTGAGAGATGGCATCCCTGTCTTGTGCCAGTTTTCAAAGGGAATGCTTCCAGTTTTTGCCCATTCAGTATGATATTGGCTGTGGGTTTGTCATAGATAGCTCTTATTATTTTTAAATATGTCCCATCAATACCTAATTTATTGAGAGTTTTTAGCATGAAGGGTTGTTGAATTTTTCAAAGGCCTTTCTGCATCTATTGAGATAATCATGTGGTTTTTGTCTTTGGTTCTGTTTATATGCTGGCTTACATTTATTGATTTGCGTATATTGAACCAGCCTTGCATCCCAGGGATGAAGCCCACTTGATCATCGTGGGTCAGCTTTTTGATGTGTTGCTGGATTCGGTTTGCCAGTATTTTATTGAGGATTTTTGCATCAATGTTCATCAAGGATATTGGTCTAAAATTCTCTTTTTTGGTTGTGTCTCTGCGGGGCTTTGGTATCAGGATGATGCCGGCCTCATAAAATGAGTTAGGGAGGATTCCCTCTTTCTCTACTGATTGGAATAGTTTCAGAAGGAATGGTACCAGTTCCTCCTTGTACCTCTGTTAGAATTCGGCAGTGAATCCATCTGGTCCTGGTCTCTTTTTGGTTGGTAAGCTCCTGATTATTGCGGCAATTTCAGATCCTGTTATTGGTCTATTCAGAGATTCAAATTCTTCCTGGTTTAGTCTTGGGAGGGTGTACGTGTCGAGGAATTTATCCATTTCTTCTAGATTTTCTAGTTTACTTGCATAGAGGTGTTTGTAGTATTCTCTGATGGTAGTTTGTATTTCTGTGGGATCGGTGGTGATATCCCCTTTATCATTTTTTATTGCATCTATTTGATTCTTCTCTCTTTTTTTCTTTATTAGTCTTGCTAGTGGTCTATCAATTTTGTTGATCCTTTCAGAAAACCAGCTCCTGGATTCATTAATTTTTGAAGGGTTTTTTGTGTCTCTGTTTCCTTCAGTTCTGCTCTGATTTTAGTTATTTCTGGCCTTCTGCTAGCTTTTGAATGTGTTTGCTCTTGCTTTCCTAGTTCTTTTAATTGTGATGTTAGGGTGTCAATTTTGGATCTTTCCTGCTTTCTCTTGCGGTCATTTAGTGCTATAAATTTCCCTCTACACACTGCTTTGAATTAGTCCCAGAGATTCTCATATGTTGTGTCTTTGTTCTCGTTGGTTTCAAAGAACATCTTTATTTCTGCCTTCATTTCATTATGTACCCAGTAGTCATTTAGGAGCAGGTTGTTCAGTTTCCATGTAGTTCAGCGGTTTTGAGTGAGATTCTTAATCCTGAGTTCTAGTTTGATTGCACTGTGGTCTGAGAGATAGTTTGTTATAATTTCTATTCTTCTACATTTGCTGAGGAGAGCTCTACTTCCAATTATGTGGTCAATTTTGGAATAGGTGTGGTGTGGTGTTGAAAAAATGTATATTCTGTTGATTTGGGGTGGAGAGTTCTGTAGATGTCTATTAGGTCCGCTTGGTGCAGAGCTGAGTTCAATTCCTGGGTATCATTGTTGACTTTCTGTCTCATTGATCTGTCTAATGTTGACAATGGGGTGTTAAAGTCTCCCATTCTTAATGTGTGAGAGTCTAAGCCTCTTTGTAGGTCACTCAGGACTTGCTTTATGAATCTAGGTGCTCCTGTATTGGGTGCATATATATTTAGGATAGTTGGCTCTTCTTGTTGAATTGATCCCTTTACCATTATGTAATGGCCTTCTTTGTCTCTTTTGATCTTTGTTGGTTTAAAGTCTGTTTTATCAGAGACTAGGATTGCAACCTCCACCTTTTTTTGTTTTCCATTTGCTTGGTAGATCTTGCTCCATCCTTTTATTTTGAGCCTATGTGTGTCTCTGCACGTGAGATGGGTTTCCTGAATACAGCACGCTGATGTGTCTTGACCCTTTATCCAATTTACCAGTCTGTGTCTTTTAATTGGAGCATTTAGTCCATTTACATTTAAAATTAATATTGTTATGTGTGAATTTGATCCTGTCATTATGATGTTAACTGGTTATTTTGCTCATTGGTTGATGCAGTTTCTTCCTAGTCTCGATGGTCTTTACATTTTGGCATGATTTTGCCACGGCTGGTACCGGTTGTTCCTTTCCATGTTTAGTGCTTCCTTCAGGAGCTCTTTTAGGGCAGGCCTGGTGGTGACAAAATCTCTCAGCATTTGCTTGTCTGTAAAGTATTTTATTTCTCCTTCACTTATGAAGTTTAGTTTGGCTAGATATGAAATTCTGGTTTGAAAACTCTTTTCTTTAAGAATGTTGAATATTTGTCCCCACTGTCTTCTGGCTTGTAGAGTTTCTGCCAAAAGATCTGCTGTTAGTCTGATGGGCTTCCCTTTGAGGGTAACCCGACCTTTCTTTCTGGCTGCCCTTAGCATTTTTTCCTGCATTTCAACTTTGGTGAATCTGACAATTATGTGTCTTGGAGTTGCTCTTCTCGAGGAGTATCTTTGTGGCATTCTCTGTATTTCCTGAATCTGAATGTTGGTCTGCCTTGCTAGATTGGGGAAGTTCTTCTGGATAATATCCTGCAGAGTGTTTTCCAACTTGGTTCCATTCTCCCCGTCACTTTCCGGTACACCAATCAGACGTAGATTTGGTCTTTTCACATAGTCCCATGTTTCTAGGAGGCTTTGCTCATTTCTTATTATTCTTTTTTCTCTAAACTTCAGTTCTCACTTCATTTCATTCATTTCATCTTCCTTCGCTGATACCCTTTCTTCCAGTTGATCGCATCAGCTCCTGAGTCTTCTGCATTCTTCACGTAGTTCTCAAGCCTTGGTTTTCAGCTCCATCAGCTCTTTTAAGCACTTCTCTGTATTGGTTATTCTAGTTATACATTCTTCTAAATTTTTTTGAAAGTTTTCAACTTCTTTGTCTTTGGTTTGAGTGTCTTCCCATAGCTCGGAGTAATTTGATCATCTGAAGCCTTCTTCTCTCAGCTCGTCAAAGTCATTTTCCGTCCAGCTTTGTTCCGTTGCTAGTGAGGAACTGTGTTCCTTTGGAGGAGGAGAGGCGCTCTGCTTTTTAGAGTTTCCAGTTTTTCTGCTCTGTTTTTTCCCCATCTTTGTGGCTTTATCTACTTTTGGTCTTTGATGATGGTGATGTATAGATGGGTTTTTAGTGTGGATGTCCTTTCTGTTTGTTAGTTTTCCTTCTAACAGACAGGACCCTCAGCTGCAGGTCTGTTGGAGTACTCGGCCCTGTGAGGTGTCAGTCTGCCACTGCTGTAGTGGTGCCTCCCAGTTAGGCTGCTCGGGGGTCAGGGGTCAGGGACCCACTTGAGGAGGCATTCTACCTATTCTCAGATCTCCAGCTTCATGCTGGGAGAACCACTGCTCTTTTCACAGCTGTCAGACAGGGACATTTAAGTCTGCAGAGGTTACTGCTGTCTTTTTGTTTGTCTGTGCCCTGCCTCCAAATGTGGAGCCTACAGAGGCAGGCAGGCCTCCTTGAGCTGTGGTGGTCTCCACTCAGTTCGAGCTTCCTGCCTACTTTGTTTACCTAAGCAAGCCTGGGCAATGGCGGGCACCCCTCCCCCAGCCTCGCTGCCACCTTGCAGTTTGATCTCAGGCTGCTGTGCTAGCAATCAGTGAGACTCCGTGGACATAGGACCCTCCGAGCCCGGTGCGGAATATAATCTCCTGGTTCCCCTTTCTTTGGCTAGGAAAGGGAACTCCTTGACCCCTTGCACTTCCCGCATGAGGCCATGCCTCACCCTGCTTCAGCTTGCACTTGGTGCATGCACCTACCGACCTGCGCCCACTGTCTGGCATTCCCTAGTGAGATGAACCCGGTACCTCAGATGGAAATGCAGAAATCACCCGTCTTCTGAGTCACTCACGCTGGGAGCTATAGACAGGAGCTGTTCCTATTCAGCCATCTTGGCTCCTCCTCCACTAGCTCTATTTAGGTTTTAACAGAAGATGTTTCCTTTCTCAACATATGCCTCAATGCACTCCCATATATCCCTTTGCAGATTCTCCAAAACAGAGCTTCCAAAATTCTCAATGAAAATAAATTTTTAACTCTGCGGGATGTATGCACACATTACAAATTGGTTTCTAAGATAGCTTCATCATAGGGCTCAATGTGCTCCCAAATATCCCTTCATAGATTCTAAATAAACAGTTTCTCCAAACTACCAAATGAAAAGAAAGGTTTTACTCTGTGAGGTGAGTGAACACATCACATAGCAATTTCTCAGATAGCATCCTTCTAGTTTTTAACCTGAGATGTATTGTTTTTACTTTTGGCCTCAATGAGCTTCCAAATGTCCATTTACAGAATGGACAAAAACAGTGTTTCCAAACTTTTGAATCAAAAGAATGTTTTAATTCTGTGAGATGAATGCACACATCACAAAGCTGTTTCTCAGAAACCTTTCTAGTTTTTATCTGGAGATGTTTCCTTTTTCACCGTGAGCCTCAATACTCTCCAAAATGTACCTCCACAGATCCTAAAAGAACATTTTTCTAAATTCCTGAAAGAAAAGACAGGTTTAACTCTTTGAGATGAATACACACATCACAAAGTGTTTTCAGAGATAGCATCTAATTTTTATCCTACATTATTTGCTTTTTTGCCATTGGCCTCAATGAACTCACAAATATCAATTCATATAATGGACAAAAACAGTGTTTCCAAACTGGTGAATCCAAAGGAATGTTCAACTCAGTGAGATGTATGCATACATCACAAAGCAGTTTCTCAGAGAGATTTTTTCTTGTTTTTATCTGAAGATGTTTCCTTTTATACCATAGGCCTCAATGCACTCCCAAATATCCCTTCACAGATTCTACAAAAACAGTGATTCCAAACTGCTGAATGAAAAGAAAATTTAACTCTGTGAGATGAATGTGCACATCACAAAGCAGTTTCTCAGATAGCTTCCTTCTAGTTTTTATCCTGTGATAATCACTTTTTTGAAATTGGCCTCAAAACCCCAAAATGTCCATTCTCATAATGGAGAAAAACAGTGTTTCTAAACTGCTGAATCAAAAGAAAGGTTAAATGCTGTGAGTTGAATGCACATATAACAAAGCTGTTTCTCAGAAAACTACTTCCTAGTTTTTATCTGAAATTATTTTCTTTCTCACCTTAGGTTTCAAATTGCTCCCAATTATCCCTGTGCAGATTTTTCAAAAACAGTTTTTCCAGACTGCTGAATGAAGAGAAAGTTTTAACCCTGTGAGATTAATGCACACATCAAAAGCCAGTATCTCAGATACTTTCCTTCTAGTTTTTATCCTGGGATATACCCTTTTTCACCATTGGCCTCAATGAGCTCTGACATGTCAACTGGCAGAATGGACAAAAACAGTGTTTCCAAACTGCTGAACCCAAAAAAACTTTTAACACTGTGAGATGAATGCACACATAAGAAAGCAGTTTCTCAGAAAGCTTCTTTCTAGTTTTTATCTGAAGGTATTTCCCTTTTCACTGTAGGCCACAGTGCACCCCCGAATATCTCTTTGCATGTTCTAGAAAAACAGTGTTTCCAAATGGCTGAATCAAAATACAGGTTTAACTCTGTGAGAGAATGCACACATCACAAATCAGGTTCAGAGATAGCGTCCTTCTAGTTTTTATCTTGGAATATTCACTTTTTTCCATTGGGCTCAATCAGCTCCCAAATGTCCATTCACAGAATGGAAAAAAACAGTGTTTCCAAACTGCTCAATTCAAGAAAGGTTTAGATCAGTTAGATGTATGCACACATCACAAAGCAGTTCTCAGAGAGCTTCCTTCTTTTTTTTATCTGAAGATGTTTCCTTTTCACCCTAGGCCTTATGCATTCCCAAATCTCCTTTTGAAGATTCTACAAAAACGGTGATTCCAAACAGCTGAATGAAAAGAAATGTTTAACTCTGTGAGACGAATCCACACATCAAAAAGCAGTTTCTCAGATAGCTTTCTTCTAGTTTTTATCCTGAGAAAAATATTTTTTCATCATTCTCCTCAATAAGCTCTGAAATGTCCATTTGCGGAATGGACAAATACAGTTTTTCCAAACTGCTGAATCAAAAGAAAGGTTAAACTCTATGAGATGAACTCACACATCACAAAGCATTTTCTGAGAAATCTTCATTCCACTTTTTATCTGAAGATATTTTCCTTTTCACCATATGCTTCGAATTTCTCTCAAATATCTGTATACAGTTTCTTCAAGAAAAGTGTTTCCAGACTTTTAACTCTGCTAGATGATGGACACAAGAAAAAGCAGTTTCTCAGGTAACATCCTTCTAGTTTTCATCCTGAGATATTCCCTTTCTGGCAATTGTCCTCAAATGGCCATTCACATAGTGGACAAAAACAGTGTCTCCAAACTGATGAATCCAAACAAACGTTCAAGTTTGTGAGAAAAATGCACACATGATAAAGCAGTTTCTCAGAAAGCTTCTTTCAAGTTTTTATCTCAATATATTTCCTTTTTCACTGTAGACCTCAATGCGCTCCTAATACACCTTTGCAGATTCTAGGAAAACTGTGTTTCCAAACTGCTGAATGAAAAGAAAGTTTAACTCTGTGAGATAAATGCACACAAAACAAAGCAGTTCCTCAGATTGCTTCCTTATAGTTTTTATCCTGGGATATTTGCTTATTTGACTTTGGCCTCAAAGAGCTCCCAAATATCCATTCACAGAATGGACAAAAATAGTGTTCCCAAACTGCTGAATCCAAAGAAAGTTTTAACTCTGTGAGATGAATGGACACATTACAAACCAGTTTCTAGAAAGCTTCTTTCTAATTTTTGTCAGAAGACGTTCCATTGTTCAACATAAGCCTCAATGCACTCCCAAATATCCCTTCACAGCTTCTACAAAAACAGCATTTCCAAACTCCTGATTGGAAAGAAAAGTTTAATTATGTGAGATGAATAAACATCTCACAAACTGGTTTCTCAGATTGCATCCTTCTCGTTTTTATTATGGGATATTCGTTTTTTCGCCTTTGTCCTCAATGAGCTCCAAAATGACCATCCGCAGAGTGGACTAAAAGCGTGTTTCCAAACTGATGAATCCAAAGAAAGATTTAACTCTTTGAGATGAATGCACACATCAGGACGCAGTTTCTCAGAAACCTTCTTTCTAGTTTTTATCTAAAGATGTTTCATTTTTCACCTTAGGCCTCAATGTGATCCCAAATATCCCTTCCCAGATACGACAAAACTTGTTTTCAAACTGCTGACTGAAAAGAAAACTTTAAGTCTACAAGATGAATGCACACTTCACAAAGAGTTTTCTCAGAGTGGGTCCATCTAGTTTTTAACCTGAAATATTCTGTTTTTCACCATTGGCCTCAATGAGCTCCAAAATGTCCATTCGCAGAATGGATTAAGACAGTGTTTCCAAACTGCTGAATGAAAAGAAAGTTTTCACTCTGTGAGACGAATGTACACATACCAAAGCGGTTTCTCAGATAGCTTCCTTCTAGTTTTTATCCTGGGATATTTGCCATTTTGCCATTGGCCTCCATGAGTTCCCAAATGTCCATTTGTAGAATGGATAAAAACAGTGTTTCCAAACTCCTGAATCCAACGAAAGTTTTAACTCTGTGAGATGAATGCACACATCACAAAGCAGTTTCTCAGAAAACTTCTTTCCACTTTTTATCTGAAGATTTTTCCTTTTTCACCATTGGCCCCAAAGGGCTCCCAAATAGCCCTTCACAGATTCTACAAAAACAGTGTTTCCAAACTGCTGAATTAAAAGAGAGCTTTAACTCTGTGAGATGAATGCACATATCACACAGCGATTTCTCAGATAGCTTCCTTCAAGTTTTTATCCTGGGATATTCACTTTTTCACTGTTGGCTTCAATAAGCTCCAAAATGTCCATTCACAGAATGGACAAAAAGAGTGTTTCCACACTGCTGTATCCAAAGAAAGGTTTAACACTGTGAGATGAATGCACACACCCCAAAGCAGTTTCTCAGAAAGATTCTTTCTCGTTTATATCTGAAGATGTTTCCTTTTCCAGCACAGGCCTTAATAAGCTCCCAAATATCTCTTAGCAGATTCTACAGAAACAGTATTTCCAAACTGCTGATTGAAAAGAAAAAATATAAATCTGTGAGAGGAAAAAGACTGTTTCCAAACTGTTGAATTTAAAGAAAGGCTTAACTCTGTCAGATGAATGCACACATCACAAAGCAGTTTCTCAGAAATCTACTTTCTAGATTTTATCTGAAGATGTTTTCTTTTTCACCATAGGCCTAATGGGCTCCTAAATATCCCTTGCAGATTCTACATAAACAGTGTTTCCAAACTGCTGTATGAAAAGAAATGTTTAACTCTATTAGATGAATGCACACATCAGAAAGTGGTTTCTCAGATACCTTCCTTGGATTTTTTTATCCTGGAATATTTGCTTTATTGCCATTGGCCTCAATGAGCACCGAAATGCCCATTCGTAGACCCTACAAAAACAGGGTTGCAAAACTGATGAATGAAGAGATAGGTTTTATTCAGCGAGATGAATGCACACATCACAAAGCAGTTCCTCAGATCGTTTCCTTATAGTTTTTATCCTGGGATATTCACTTTTTTGCCATTGGCCTCAATGAGGACCAAAATGTACATTCTCAGAATAGACAAAAACAGTGTTTCAAAACTGCTAAATCCAAGGAAAGGTTTAACTTTGTGAGATGAATGCACACATCACAAAGCAGTTTCTCAGATAGCTTCTTTCTAGTTTTTATTTGAAGATTTTTTTTTATCACAGGCCCGAGTGTTCTTCAAAATATCCCTTCACAGATTTTACAAAAACAGTGTTTGCAATCTGCTGAATGAAAAGAGAGGCTTAACTCTGTGAGATGCATGTACACATCACAAAGTCGTTTCTCAGGTCACTTCCTTCTAGTTTCTATCATGCGATATTCCATTTTTCACCATTGGCCTCAATGAGCTCCCAAATGTCCATTTGCAGAATGGACAAAAACAATGTTTCCTAACTGCCCACAGTTTCTTAGAGAGTTTCTTTCTAGTTTATATATGAAGATTTTTTTTTCATCAGAGGCCTCATTGTGCTCCCAAATATCCCTTCACAGATTCTGCAAAGGCAATGTTTCCAATCTCCTGAATGAAAAGAGAAGTTTAACTCTGTGAGATGAATGCACTCATCAAAAACGGTTTCTCAGATAGCTTTCTTCTAGTTTTTATCCTAGGATATTCACTTTCTTCCCATTGGCCTCAATGACCTCTCAAATGTCCATTTGCAGAATGGACAAAAACAGGGTTTCCAAACTGCTGAATCAACCGGATAGTTTATCTCTGTGAAATGAATGTAAATCCCACAAAGCAGTTTCTCCAAATGCTTGTTTCTTATTTTTATCTGAAGATATTTTCTTTTCCACCATAGGCCTCAATGTAGTCCCAAATATCCCTTCACAGATAATAGAAAAACAGTGTTTCCAAACTCCTGAATGTAAAGAAATATTTAACTCTGCAAAATTAAAGCACACATCATAAAGCAGTTTCTCATACAGCTTCTTTATCGTTTTTATCCAGGGATATTCATTTTTTCACCATTGGTTTCAATGAGCTCCCAAATATCCATTCACAGAATGGAAAAAAACAGTGTTTCCAAACTGCTAAATCAAAAGAAAGTTTAACTGTGAGGTGAATGCACACATCACAAAGCAGTTTCTCATAAAGTTTTTTTCTAGGTTTTATCCTAAGATATTTTCCTTTTCACTATAGGCTTCTATGTGCTCCCAAATAACCCTTCACAGATTCTACAAAAACGGTGTTTCCAAACTCCTGAATGTAAAGAAATATTTAACTCTACGAAATGAAACCACACATCATAAAGCAGTTTCTCAAAATGCTTGTTTCTTATTTTTATCTAAAGATATTTTATTTTTCACCATAGGCCTCAATGCACTCCGAAATATCCCTTTGCAGACAATAGAAAAACAGTGTTTCCAAACTCCTGAATCCCTTTGCAGATTCTACAAAAACAGTGTTTCCAAACTGCTAAATGAAAAGAAGGATTAAGTCTGCGAGATGAATGCACAGATCACAATGTGATTTCTCAGATAGCTTCCTTCTAGTTTTTATCTTGGAATATTCCCTTTTTCGCCATTGGCCTCAATGAGCACAAAAATGTCCATTTGCAGAATGGACAAAAACAGTTTTTCCAAAATGCTGAATCAAAAGAAAAGTTTAACACTGTGAGATGCATTCACACATCACAAAGTAGTTTCTCAGAAAGCTTCTTTCTAGTTTTTATCTGAAGATATTTCCTTTTTCACCATTGACCTCAATGTGTTTCTGAATATCCCTTAGAAGTTTCTACAGAATGGTGTTTCCAAACTGCTGAAATAAAAGAAAGGTTTTACTTGGTGAGATGAATGCACACATCACAAAACAGTTTCTCAAATAGCTTCCTTCTAGTTTTGAACATGGTATGTTCACTTTTTCGCTATTGGCCTCAATGAGCTCCCAATGTCCATTTGTGGAATGGATTAATCACTGTTTCCAAGATGCTGAATCAGAAGAAATGTTTAACCCTGTGATTTGAATGCACAGATCACAAGCAGTTTATGAGAAAGCTTCCTTCTAGTTTTTATTGGAAGATATTTTCTTTTACATCATAGGTGTTAATGCACTCCCAAATATCCCTATGCAGTTTCTACAAACAGTGTTTCCAAACTTCTGAATGAAAAGAAAGGTTTACCTATGTGAAATGAATGCACACTTCAAAAAGCAGTTTCTCACGAAGTTTCTTTCTACTTTCAATCAGAAGATTTTTTTCACAATAGCCTCAGTGCACTTCCGAATGTCCATTCACAGTACAAAAAAAGTGTTTCCAAACTGCCGAATGAAAAGTTTACTTCTGTGAGATGAATGCACACATCACAAAGAATGTTCTCACAATGCTTCCTTCAATTTTTTGTCAGAAGATATTTCCTTTTACATTATGGGTCTCTATGCACTTTCAAATGTCCATTCACAGAATGTACAAAAACAGTGCTTCTAACTTCAGAGAGAGGTTTAACTCTGGGAGATGAATTCCCATATCACAACGTTCTTTCTCAGATAGCTTCCTCTTGTTGTTTATCCTGGGATATTTGCTTTTTTGCCATTAGATTCAGTGATCTCCCAAATGTCCATTCCCAGAATGGACAAACACTGTGTTTCTAAGCTGCTGAATCAAAAGGAAGGCTTATCTCTGTGAGACAAATGCACACACCACAAAGCAGTTTCTCAGAAAGCTTCTTTCTTGTTTTTATCTGAAATTATTTTCTTTTTTTCACCATAGACCTCAATGTGCTCCCAAATATCCCTTTGCAGATTCCCCAAAAACACTGTTTCCAAACTGCTGAAGGTAAAGAAAAATTTCACTGTGTGAGATGAATGCTCACATCACAAAGCAGTTTCTCAGATATCTTCCTTCTAGTTTTTGTCCTGGCATATTCGCTTTTTCACCATTGGCCTCAATGAGCTCCCAAATGTCCATTCACAGATTGCACAAAAATGGTGTTTCCAAACTGCTGAATCAAAAGAATGGTTTAACTCTGTGAGATGAATTCACACATCACAAAGTGTTTTCTCAGATACCTTCTTCTAGTTTTTACCTTGGGATAATCTCTTTTTTGCCATTGGCCTCAATGAGCACCCAAATACCCATTTGCAGAATGGAAAAAGTGTTTACAAAATGCCGAATCAAAAGAAAGGTTTAAATCTGTAAGATGAATTCACACACACAAAGCAGTTTCTGAAAAAACTTCTTTCTAGTTTTTATCTGAAAATAATTCCTTTTTCACCATAGGCCTCAATGTGCTTCTGAATATCCCTTAGAAGATTCTACAAAACCTGTGTTTCCAAACTGCTGAATGAAAAGAAAGGATTTACTCAGCAAGAGGAATGCACAAATCACAAAGCAGTTTCTCAGATATTGTTCTTCTCATTTTTAACCTGGTTTATTCACTTTTTCACTTTTGCCCTCAATGAGCTCCCAATGTCCATTCACAAAATGGAGAAAAACTGTGTTTCCAAACTGCTGAATCAAAAGAAAGATTTACATGTCTGATATGAGTGCACACATCACAAAGCAGTTCATCAGAAAGCTTCCTTCTAATTTTTATCTGAAGATAATTTATTTTTCACCATAGTCCTCAAGTTGTTCCCAAATGTCCATTCACAGAATGTACAAAAACAGTGTTTCCAAATTGCTGAATGAAAAGAAAGTTTTATCTCTGTGAGAAGAACCCACACATTACAAAGTTGTTTCAAAAGTAGCTTCTTTCTAGTTTTTATCTGGTGATATTACATTTTTCCCCATAGGCCTCAAAGGGTTCTGCAATATCCCTTTGAGGATTCTCCAGAAGAATGTTTTCTACCTGCTGACTCAAAAGAAAGGTTTAACTCTGTGAGATGAATCCACATATCACAAAGCAGATTCACAGAGAGCTTCTTTCTAGTTTTTATTTGCAGATATTCAGTTTTGTCCCATAAAATTCAATGAGGCTCTAAAATGTCTCTTCCAGATTCTCCAAAGAGTGTTTCTCACCTGCTGAACCAGATGAAATGTTAAACTCTGTGGGATGAATCAATACATCAGTAAGCAGTTTCAAAGATAGCTTCTTTCTTGTTTTTATCTGGGGATGTTTTGTTATTCCCCTTAGGCCTCAATGGGCTACAAGTGTCCCTTCACAGATTCTCCAAAAGGAGTGATTCTAATCTGCTGAATCAAGAGAAAGATTTAAGTCTGTGACAAGAGTCCACATATCAAAAAGTGGTTTCACAGATAGATTCTTTCTAGTTTTTATTCTGGGGATGTTTGGTTTTTCCCCACAGGCCTCAATGGCCTCCCAAATGTCCTCTCATAGATTTTCCAAAAAGAGTGTTTCCAACCTGAGAAATCAAAACAAAGTTTAGACTCTGTGCAGGGAATCCACAAGTCACAAAGCAGTTTCACAGACAGCTTCTTTCTAGTTTTTATCTGAGCACATTGAATTTTTTCCCCTTTGGCCTCAATGGGCTCCAATATGTCCCTTCACAGATTCTCCAAAAAGAGTGTTTACAACCTGCTGAATCAAAAGAAAGGTTTAACTCTGTGAGATGAATCCAAACATCACAATGCAGTTTCACCGAGAACTTCTTTCTAGTTTTTGTCTGCAGATATTCAATGTTGCCACATACACCTCAATGGGCTCAAATATGTATTTTCACAGATCCTGCAAAAAGAGAGTTTTCTACCTGCTGTATCAAAGGAAAGGTTAAACTTCATGAGATGAATCCACACATCACAAAACAGTTTTACAGATAGCTTCCTTGTAGTTTTTATCTGGGGATATTCAGTTTTTCCCCAAAGTCCTCAATTGTCTCCCAAATATTCCTTCACAATTTCACCAAGAAGAATGCTCCCATCTGCCGAATCTAAAGAATATTTACGTTTTTGAGATGATTCCACACATCACAAAGCAGTTTCACACATAGATTCCTTCTTGCTTTTATCAGGAAATGTTCAATTTTTCCCTATAGGTCTCAATGGGCTCCCAAATGTCCTTTTGCAGATTCTCAAAACAGAGTGTTTCCAACCTGCTGAATGAAAAGAAAGGTTTAAGTCTGTGAGATGAATCCACACATCACAAAGCAGTTTCACAGATATCTTCCTTCTAGTTTCGATCTGGGGATGATTTTTTTTCTTCATAGTCCTCAATGGGCTCTTAATTGTCAGTTTGCAGATTCCCAGAAAGAGTGTTTTCAACCCGCTGAATCAAAACAAATGTTTCACTCTATAAGATGAATCCACACACTACAAAGCTGTTTTGAATATAGCTTATTTCTAGTTTTTATCTGGGGATATTCAGTTTTTCCCCATAGGCCTCAATGGGTTTTGAAATATTCCTTTGCAGATTCTCCAAAATAATGTTTCTTTCCTGCTTACTCAAAAGAAAGGTTTAACTCTGTGAGATGAATGTACATATCACAAAGCAGTTTCACAGAGAACTTCTTTCTAGTTCTTATCTGGGGATATTCAGTTTTGTCCCATAAACTTCAATAGGCTACAAAATGTCCCTTCCAGATTCTCCAAAGAGTGTATCTAACCTACTGAATCAAAAGAAAGGTTTAACTCTGTGGGATGAATCAACACATCACAAAGCAGTTTCAAAGGTAGCTTCTTTTTTGTTGTTATCTTGGGATGTTAGGTTATTCCCTGTAGGCCTCATTGGGCTCCCTAAAGTCCCTTCACAGATTCTCCAAAAAAAGTGTTTCCAATCTGCTGAATCAAGAGAAAGGGTTAATTCTGTGAGAAGAGTCCACAAATCAAAAAACGTTTCACAGATACCTTCTTTCTAGATTTTATTTGGGGGATGTTTGTTTTTTTCCCCACAAACATCAATGGCTTCCCAAATGTCCCCTCACAGATGCTCCAAAAAGACTGTTTCCAACCTGATAAATCAAACCAAAGTTTAAACTCTGTGAAAGGAATCTACAAATCACAAACAGTTTCACATATAGCTTCAATTTTACTTTTTCTCTGCAGATATTCAGCTTTTCTCCATAGGCCACAATGGGCTCCCAAATGTTTCTTCACCAATTCTGCAAAAAGAGTGTTTCCAAACTGATGTATCAAAAGAATGTTTTAACTCTGGGAGATGAATCCACCCATCACAAAGCAGTTTCACAAATAGCTTCTTTCTAGTTTTTATCTGAGGATATTCGATTTTTCCCCAAAGGCCTCAAAGGGCTCAAAAATGTCTTTTTGCAGATTCTGCAAAAAGATCGTTTTCAACCTGATGAATCAATGGAAAGGTTAACCTCTGTGAGATTAATGCATGCATCCCAAAGCAGTTTTACACATAGCTTCTTTGTAGTTTTCATCTAAGGATATTCCGTTTTCCCCCAAAGGTCTCAATAGGCTTTGAAATTTCCCTTCACAGATTCTTTAAGAAGAGTGTTTCCAATCTGCTGAATCAAAACAAAGGTTTAACTCTGTTAGATGAATCCACGCAACAGAAAGCAGTTTCACAGATAGCTTATTTCTAGTTTTTGTCTAAGTATGTTATTCTTATCACCAGAGGCCTCAATGGGATCCCAAATATCCCTTTTCAGATTCTTTAAAAAGAGTGTTTCCAAACTTCTACATCAAAAGGAAGGTTTACCTCTTTGAGATGTATCCACACATCACAAAGCAGTTTCACAGATAGCTTCTTTCTAGTTTTTAATCTTAAGATATTAGGTTTTTTTTGTTACTATCGTCCATAAAGGGCTCCATAATGCCCATCTGTAGATTTTCCAAAAAGAGTATTTTCAATGTGCTGAATAAAAAGAAATGTTTAACAGTATGAAATGAATCCACACATCACAAAGCAGTTTTACACGAAGCTTCTTTCTAGTTTTTCTCTGTGCATACTTGGTTATTCCAGATAGTAATCATTGGGCTCCAAAATGTCCCTTTGCAGAATCTCCAAAAAGATTGTTTCCTGCCTACTGAATCAGATGAAAGGTTTAACTCTGTGAGATGAATCCACACATCATAAAGCAGTTTCACAGATAGCTTGTTTCTAGGTTTTATCCAGGAATATTTGGTTTTTACCTATAGACTTCAATGAGCTCCAAACTGTCTTTATGCAGATTCAGCAAAAAGAGTGTTTCCAACATGCTGAATCAAAAGAAAGGTTTAACTCTGTGAGATGAATCCACACATCACACAGTACTTTCACAGATAGCTTCTTTCTAGCTTTTATCTGGGGATATTCTGCTCTTCAACATAGGCCTTAATGGGCTCCCAAATGATTCTTCAAAATTCCCCAAAACGTGACTTTTTAACCTGTTGAATCAAAAGAAAGCTTTCCTCTGTGAGATGACCCACTCATCAGAAGCGGCTTCAAGATATATTCTTTGTACTTTTTATCAGAGACTACTCAGTTTTTCCCCATAGACATCAATGGACTACAAAATGTCCCTTTGCAGATTCTCCAAAAAGATTGCCCACATCTTTCTGAATCAAAAGAAAGTTTTAACTCTGTGAGATGAATCCACACATCACAAACTAAAAATTTGTTTCACAGATTGCTTCTTTGAAGTTTTTAGCTGGTGATATTCTGTTTTTCCCCATACGCTTCAATGGGCTCTCAAATGTCCCTTGGTAGATTCTCCAAAAACAGTGTTTTCATGCTGCTGAATCAAAAGAAAGTTTTAACTCAGTGAGATGAACCAACACATCACAAAGCAGTTTCAGAGATAGCTTCTTTCTAGTTTATATCTGAGATTATTTGGTTTTGCCACCTAGGCCTCAAAAGGCTCCCAAACGTCCCTTTGCAAATTCTCCAGAATGAATGCTTTCAACTTTCTGAATCAAAGGAAATGTTAAACTTTGTGAGATAAGCTCACACATCAATAAGAAGTTTCACAGGTAGCTTATTTGTAGTTTTTAACTGGGGATATTCATTTTTTCCCCATAGGCCTGAATGAGCTCCCAAATGTCCCTTTACAGAATCTTCATGAAGATTATTCCCATCTGCTGGATCCAAGGAAACGTTTAACTCTTTGAGGTGAATCCACAGATCACAAAGCAGTTTCACACATAGTTTCTTTCTAGGTTTAATCTGGGGATGTTCAGTTTTTTCCCGTAAAACTCAATGGAATCCCAAGTCCCTTCACAGATTCTCCAGAGTGTTTTCAAACTGCTGAATCAAAAGAAAGTTTTAACTCTGTGAGATTAATCCACACATCAAAAAGTAGTTTCACATATAGCTTCTTTATAGTTCCTATCTGGGGATATTCAGCTCTTCCACATAGGCCTTAATGGGATCCCAAATATTTCCTCACAGATTCTCCAAAAGTAGTCTTTCCAACTTGTTGAATCAAAATAAGCTTTACCTCTGTGAGAAGACCCTCACATCACAAGAAGTTTCAAGGTATCTTCTTTGTTCTTTTTATCAGGGAATACTCAGTTTTGCCCCATAGGCCTCAGTGGACACCCAGATATCCCTTTACACATTCTCCAAAAAGAGTGTTTCCAACCTGCTGAATCAAAAGAAAGGTTTAACTCTGTGAGGTCAATCCACACATCACAAGGCAATTTCACAGATAGCTTCTTTCTAGTTTTTCTCTGAGGATATTCCTTTGCCCTTAGGCTTCAATGGGATTCTAATTGTTCCTTTGCAGATTCTCCAAAAACAGTTTTTCCAACCTGCTGAATCAAAAGAAAGCGTTAAGTCTGTGAGGTTAATCCACACTTCACAAAGCAGTTTCACAGATATCTTCTTTCTAGTTTTTCTCTGGATATATTATTCTTTTCACCGTAGGCCTCAATTGGTTCCCAAATGTCCCTTTGCAGATACTTTAAAGAGTGTTTCCAAACTTCTGCATCAAAAGAAAAGTTTTACTCTTTGAGATGAATCCATACATCACAAAGCACTTTCACAATAACTTCTTTCTTGTTTTGTCTCAGGATATTAGGGTTTTTGTTACCATAGTCCCCAAAGGGCTCCAAAAAGTCCATCCATAGATGTTCCAAAAAGAGTGTTCTCAAACGTGCTGAGTAAAAAGAAAGGTTTAACACTGTGAAATGAATCCACACATCACAAAGCAGTTTTTCACAAAGCTTCTTTCTAGTTTTTCTCTGTGGGTACTGGGTTATTCCCCATAGTCTTCACTGGGCTCCAAAATATCCCTTCGCAGTATCTCCAAAAAGAGTCTTTCCAACCTACTGAATCAAATGAAATATTTAACTATGTGAGATGAACCCACACATCACAAAGCTGTTTCACAGATAGCTTGTTTCTAGTTTTTATCTGGGAATATTCTGTTTTTACCCATAGTCCTCAATGGGTTCCCAAATGTCCCTTCACAGATACTCCAAAAAAATTTTCCAAATTCCTGAATTGAAAGAAAGTTATAACTCTGTGAGATGAATCCACACATCACAAAGCAGTTTCACAGATAACTTCTTTCCAGTTTCTATGTGGGGATACTTGGCTCTTCAACATAGCCCTTAATGGGCTCCCAATGTTTCCTCACATATTTTCCAAAAAGTGTCTTTTTAACCTGTTGAATCGAAATAAAGAGTTACCTCTGTGAGATGACCCACACATCACAAGCAGTTTCAATATATCTTCTTTGTGCTTTTTATCAGGGACTACTCAGTTTTGCCCCCATAGGTGTCAATGGCCTACAAAGTGTCCCTTCCCAGATTCTCCAAAAAGAGTGCTTCCATTCTGCTGAATCAAAGGAAAGGGGTTACTCTATGAGATGAATCCTCACATCACAAAGTAGTTTAGTATACAGCTACTATCTAGTTTTCATCCAGGAAAGTTTGGTTTTTCCCCAAAAGCCTCAATGGGCTTCCAAATTTCCATTCACAGATTCCCCAAAATCAGTGTGTTCAAAGTGATGAAAAAAGAAAAGTTTAACTCTGTGAGATGAATCCACATATCATGAAGCAGTTTCATATATAGTGTCATTCTAGTTTTTATTAGGAGATATTCACTTTTTTCACTTGGACCTAAAAAGGCTCCCAAATGTCCATTCACCAATTTTCCAAAACAGTGTTTCCAACCCGCTGAATCAAACGAATGGTTTAACTCTGTCAGATGAATCCCCACATCACAAAGCAGTTTCACAAGTAGCTTCTTTCTAGTTTTTATCTGGGGATATTTGTTTTTCCCAATAGGCCTCAATGGGCTCACATAAGTTTCTTCGCAGATTCTACACAAATAGCTTCTCCAAGTTGCTGAATGAAAATAATTTTTAACTGTGAGATGAATCCACACATCACCAAGCAGTTTCAAAGATTGTTTCTTTCTAGTTTTTCAATGGGGATTTTTGTCTTTTCCCCATAGGCCTGAAAGGGCTCCCAAATGTCCCTTTGCAGATTCTCCAATAAGAGTGTTTTCAACCTGATGAATCAAGAGAAACGTTAAACACTGTGAGATGAATCTACATATCACAAACCAGTTTTTTAGACACCCTTTTTCTAGGTTTGTATAAGGATATTCAGCTTTGCCCTATAAGTTTTAATGGTCCCCCAAATATGCCTTTGCAAAGTCTCAAAAATAGTGTTTTCAACCTGCTGAATCAAAAGAAAAGTTTAACTCTGTGAGATGAATCCAAATATCACAAAGCAGTTGCACAGATAGCTTCTTTCTAGTTTTGATCGGGGGATATTTTGTTTTTCCCCATAGAACTCAATGGGCTCT
The DNA here is from genome assembly GCF_000001405.40 of Homo sapiens. Lineage (NCBI taxonomy): Eukaryota > Metazoa > Chordata > Mammalia > Primates > Hominidae > Homo > Homo sapiens. Next base: position 41,734,144 of record NC_000010.11, on the reverse strand, counting down.
AAAGTGTCCCTTCACAGATTCTCCAAAAACAGTGTTTCCAAAGTGCTGAATCAAAAGAAAGTGTTAATTCTGTGAGATGAATCCACACAAAACAAACCAATTTTGAAGATAGCTTCCTTCTAGTTTTCATCTGGGGATGTTTGGTTTTTCCTCCTAGGCCTCAATGGGCTCATAACTGTCTCTCACAGATTCTCCAAAAAGAGTTTTTCAAACCTGCTTAATCAAAAGAAAGGTTTAACTCTGTGACATGAATCCATACATCACAAAGCAGTTTCACAGACAGTTTCTTTTTCATTTTTATCTGAGGATATTCTGTTTTTGCCCATATGCCTCAATGGGCTACTAAATGTCCTTTTGCAGATTCTCCAAAAAGAGTGTTTAAAATCTGCTGAATCAAAAGAAATACTTAACTCAGTGAGATGAATCCATGCATCACAAAGCAGTTTCACTGATATGTTCTTTCTAATTATTATCTGTGGACATTCAATTTTACCCCTAAGCCTCAATGGGCTCTGAAATATCCTCTCACAGATTCTCAAAAAGAGTGTTTCCAAACTGTGAAAACAAAAGAAACGTTTAACTCCGTAAGATGAATCCACACATCACAAATCAGTTTCACAGATAGGTTCTTTCTAGTTTTTATGTGGAGATATTCAGTTTTTGCCCATAAATGTCAATGGGCTATGCAATGTCTTTTTGCAGATTCCCCAAAGAGGATTTCCAACTGCTGAATCAAAAGAAAAGTTTAACTGGGTGAGATGAATCCAAAAATCACAAAGCCAATTCACAGATTACTTTTTTCTAGTTTTTATCTGGGGATATTTGTTTGACCATAAAGGTCTCAATGGACTCCCAAATGTCTCTTCACAGATTCTCCAAAAAGAGTGTTTCCAACCTTCTGAAACAAAAGAAATGTTTAACTCTGTGAGATGAATCCACACACCACAAAGCAGTTTTAAAAATAGCTTCTTACTAGTTTTTAGGGGGGTGATATTTGGTTTTGCACCATAGGCCTCAATCGGCTCCTAAATGTCTTTTCACAGATTCTGCAAAAAGAGAGTTTCCAACCTGGTGAATCAAAAGAAAAGTTTAACTCTGTTATAGAATCAACACATCACAAAACAGTTTCACAAAGAGCTTCTTTCTAGTTTTTATCTGGAGATATTTCGTTTTGCCCCTAGGCCTCAATGGGCTCCCAAATGTCCCTCCACAGATTCTCCAAAAAGAGTCATTCAAACCTGCTGAATCAAAGGATTGGTTTAACTCTGTGAGATGAATTCACATATCACAAAGCAGTTTCAGAGATAGCTTCTTTCCTGTTTTTATCTCAGGATATTTGGTTTTTCCCTATAGGACCCAATGGGCTCCCAAAAGTCCCTTCGCAGATTCTCCAAAAAGAGTGTTTCCTCCCTGCTGAATCAAAAGAAAGGTTTAACTTTGTGAGATGAATCCATGCATCACAAGGCAGTTTCACAGATAGGTTCTTTCTAGTTTTTATCTGGGGATATTCAGTTTTTTTCCATAGGCCTCAAGGGACTCCCAAATGTCCCTTCACATATTCTCTAAAAAGAGTGTTTGTAACCTGTAGATTCAAAATAAAGTTTTAACTCTGTGATGCATCCACACATCACAAAGCAGTTTCACAGATAGCTTCTTTCTAGTTGTTAACTTGGGATATCCTATTTTCTCCTCTAGGACACAATGGACACCTAAATTTAACTTCGCAGATTCTCCCAAAAAAGTGTTTCCAACCTGCTGAATCAAAGGAAAGTTTTAAATCTGTGAGATGAATCCACACATCACAGAGCAGTTTCACAGACAGCTTTTTTCTATTTTTTGTCTGGCGTTATTTGGTTTTTCCCCATAGGCTTCAATAGGCTTTTAAATGTTCCTTTGCAGATTATCCAAAAAGAGTGTTTCCAATCTGCTGAATAAAAAGAAATGTTTAATTCTGTTAGATGAATCCACATATCACAAAGCAGTTTCACAGATAATTTCTTTCCAGTTTTTATCAGGGAATATTCCTTTTTTTCCATGTAGTCCTCAATAGGCTCCCAGATGTCCCTTCATAGATTCTTAAAAAGAGTGTTTCTGACCTGCTGAATCAAAAGGATCTTTTAACTCTGTGAGATGAATCCACACGTCACAAAGCAGTTTCACAGATTGCTCCTTTTTCGTTTTTGTCTGCGGATATTCAGTTTTTTTCCATAAAACTCAATCGGCTTTCAAATGTCCCTTCGCAGATTGTCCAAAAAGAGTGTTTCCAACCTGCTGAATTAACAGAAAGGTTTAACACTGTGAGATGGACAAACACATCACAAAGCAGTTTCAAAGATAGCTTCTCTCTGGTTTGTATCTGGGGTTATTTTAGTTTTTCTCAATAGGCCTCAAAGGGTTCCAAAATGTCCTTTCACAAATTCTCCTCTCAACAAAGGTTGAAAGGTGCTTTCAACCTTCTGAATCAAAGGAAAAGTTAAACTCTGTGAGATAAATCCACACATCAATAATCAGTTTCACAGATAGCTTATGTGTAGTTTTAATCTGGGGATATTCAGTTTTTCCCCATAGGCCTTAATAAGCTCCCAAATGTCCCTTCACAGATTTTTCCAAAAGAGTGTTTACAACCTGCTGAATCAAAGGAAATATTTAACTCTTTTAGATAAATCCACACATCACAAAATAGTTTCACACATAGCTTCTTTCTAGGTTTTATCTGGGGATGTTCAGTTTTTCCCCATAAAACTGAATGGGATCCCAAATTTCCCTTCACAGATTCTCCAAAAAGAGGGTTTTCCTCCTCCTGAATCAAAAGAAACCTTTAGCTCTGTGAGATGAATCCATACATCACAAAGCAGTTTCACAAATAGCTTCTTCCTAGTTTTTATTAGGGAATATTTGCTTTTTCCCCATAGGCCTCAATGGGCTCCGAAATGTCCCTTTGCAGATTCTTCAAACAGAGTGTTTCCAAACTGCTGAATCAAAAGGAAGTTTTAACTCTGGGAGATTAATCCACACATTGAAAAATAGTTTCACTGATAGCTTTGTTCTAGTTTTTATCTGGGGATATCTGATTTTGCCCCTTAGGCTTCAATGGGCTCCAAAATGTCCCTTTGAAGATTTTCCAAGAAAAGTGTTTCCAACCTGCTGAATAAAAAGAAAGATTTAACTTTGTGAGATGAATCCACATGTAACAAAGCAGTTTCATAGATAGATTCTTTGTATTTTTAATCTGGGGATATTCAGTTTTTCCACATAAGCCTAATATGGCTCACAAATGTCCCTTTGAAGATTCCCCAGAAAGGTTGATTCCAACCTGCTAAATCAAAGGAAAGATTTAAGTCTGTGAGATGAATCCAGACATCACAAAGCAGTTTCACACATAAATTTTATCGAGTTTTTGTCTGGGGATAATCGGTTTTTCACTACAGGCCTCACTGGCACGCAAATGTTTTTTTGCACATTCTCCAAAAAGAGTGTTTTCAACCTCCTGAATCAAAAGAAAGGTTGAACATTCTGAGGTGAATTCATCCATCACAAAGTAGTTTCTCAGATAACTTATTTCTAGTTTTAATCTGGGAATATCAGTTTTTTCCCAAATGCCACAATGGGCTCCCATAAGTCCCTTTGCAGGCTCTGGAATAAAAGTGTTCCTACCCGGTGAATAAAAAGAAAGGTTTAGCTCTGAGATAAATAGACATATTACAAAGCAATTTCAAAGATAGCTTCGCACCTTTGCATTTTGTAGAATGTGTCTTCCCATAATCTACAAAAAGAGTGCTTCCAGCATGGAGAATCAAAACAAAGGTTTAACTCTGAGATGCATCCACATATTACAAAGCATTCTCACACATAGTTTCTTTCTAGTTTTTATCTGGGGATATTTGATTTATCCTTATAGGTCTCCATGGGCTCCCATATGTCTCTGCACAGATTATCCCAAAAGAGTATTTCCAACCTGCTGAATCAAAATAATTGTTTAAGTCTGTGAGATGAATCCACACATCACAAAGCAGTTTCACAGATAGCATCTTTATAGTTTTTATCTGGGGATGTACTGTTTTTCCACACAGGCCAAAATGGGCTCCCAAATGTCCCTGCATTTATTCTACATAAAAAGAGATTCCAATCTGCTGACTCAAAGATAATGTTTAACTCTGTGAGACCAATCCACTCATCACAAAGCAGTTTCACTGATAGCTCATTTCTAGTTTTTTGTCTCAGGATATTCGTTTTTTCCCCAGAGGCCTCAATAGGCTCAAAAATGTCCCTTTACACATTCTGCAAATGTGTGTTTCCAAGCTGCTGGATCAAAAGAAAGGTATAAGTCTGTGAGATGAATCCACACATCACAAAGCAGTTTCACAGATAGCTTCTTTCTAGTTTATATTTGGAAATAACTTTTCCCCATAGACCTCAATAGGCTCCCAAATGACCCATTGCAGAGTCTCTAAAAAGATTGTTTCCAGCCTGCTTAATAAAAAGAAAAGATTAACCTGGTGAGTTGAATCCACACATCACAAGTTTCACAGATGCCTTCTTTCTAGTTTTTAAGTGGGGATATTCTGTTGTCTCCTGTATGCCTCAATGAACTCCCAACTTTTTTTCACAGATTGTCCAAAAAGAATGTTTCCAACCTGCTGGATCAAAAGAAACTTATAACTAGTGAGATGAATCTACACATCACAAAGCAGTTTCAAGGATAATTTTTTTCTTGATTTTATCTGGGGATATTCAGTTTTGACCCTTAGGCATCATAGGTTTTCAAATGTCCCCTCGCCGATTCTAAAATAGGAGTGTTTTCAACCTGCTGAATCAAAAGAAAGTTTTAAAGTAACACTGTGATATGAATCTACACATCACAAAGCAGTTTCATGGATAGCTTCTTTCTAGTTTTTATCTGGGGTATTCTCTTTTTCCCCTTAAGCCCCAATGGGCTACCAAATTGTCCCTTCACAGATTCTCCAAAAGGAGTGCTTTCAACATGCTGAATCAAAAGAAAGTTTTAACTCTGTGAGATGTCTCCACACATCACGAAGCATTTTAACAGATAGTTTCTTTATAGTTTTTATCTGGGGGTATTCTTTTTTTTCCATAGGCCACAATGGGCTCCCAAATGTCCCTTTGCAGACACTCCAAAAAGAGTTTTTCCAAATTCCTGAATTGAAAGAAAAGTTTGACTCTGTGAGATCAATCCACCCATCATGAAGCTGTTTCACGGATAGCTTTTTTCTAGTTTTTTATCTGAGGATATTTGGTTTCTCTACATAGGCCTTCATGGGCTCCCAAATGTCCAAATGTCCCTTTGCAGATTCTCCAAAAAGAGTTTTTCCAGCCTGATGAATCAAAAGAATGGTTAACCTATGTGAGATGAATCCACAAATCAAAATGCAGCTTCACAGATGGCTTCTTTCTAGTTTTTATCTGAGGATATTCAGTTTTTCCACATAGGCCTCACTGGGCTCCCAAATGTTCCTTCACAGATTCTGCAAAAAGAGTGTTTCCAACCTGCTACATCCAAAGAAAAGTTTACCTCTGTGAGATGAATCCACACCTCACAAAGGATTTTCACAGATAGCTTCTTTCTAGTTTTCATCTGTGGGTTATTTGTTTTTCCCCATAGGTCTTAAAGGGCTCCCAAATATCTTTTTGCAGTTCTACGAAAGAGTGTTTGAACTTGCTGAATCAAATAAAGGTTTAATTCTGTGAGATGAATCCATACATCACAAATCCCTTTCACAGGTAGCTTCTTTCCAGTTTTTATCTGTGGATATTCAGTTTTTCCCCATAGGCCTCAGTACACTCTGAAATGTCCCTTCACAGATTCTCCAAAAAGTGTTTTTAACCTGCTGAATGAAAATAAAGGTTTATCTCTGTGAGAGGAATCCACACATAACAAAGAAGTTTCACATATAGATTCTATCTACTTTTCATCTGGAGATATTCAGCTTTTCCCCATAAGCCTCAAGGGGCTCCCATATGCCCCTTTGCTGATTCTGCAAAGGAATGTCTCCCACCTGCTGAATCAAAAAGAAAAAAAGGATTAATTCTGTATGATGAATGCACACATCCCAAAGCAGTTTCTCATATTCCTTCTTTCTGTTTTTTATCTGGGTATATTTGGATTTTCTTCTTAGGCCTCAATGATCTCCCAAATATCCCTTCTCATATTCTTCAAAAAGAGGGTTTCCAACCTGCTGAATCAAAAGATAGGTTTAACTCTGTGAGATGAATCCTTACATCACAAAGCCATTTCACAGATATCTTCTTTTAAGTTTATATCTGAGTAAATTCAGTTTTTGTCCATTGGCCTCAATGGGTTCCCAAACGTAAATTCACAGATACTTCAAAAACAATGTTCCAGCCTGCTGAATCAAAAGAAAGTTTTAACTCTGTGAGATGAATTCACACATCCCAAAGCAATTTCTCAGATAGCTTCTTTCTAGTTTTTATCTCTGGATAGTAGATTTTTACCCATAGACCTCAGTGGGCTCCAAAACATCGTTTTGCATATTGTCAAAAAAGAGTGTTTCCATACTGCTGAATAAATGGAAATATTTAACTCTGTGGAGATGAATCCACTCATCACATAGCAGTTTCACAGAGAGCTTCTTCTTAGTTTTTTTTTTTTTTTCCCCCTGGGGATATTCAGTTTTTTTCACAGACAGCTTCTGTCTCGTTTTTCTGGGGACATTTGTTTTTCCCCCCATAAGCCTTAATGTTCTCCTGAATGTCACTTTGCAGATTCCCAAAAAAAGATTGTTTCCAACCTGCTGAATCAAAAGAGAGGTTTAGAATTGGGGAATGAATCCACACTTCACAAAGCAGCTTCACACATAACTTCTTTCCAGTTTTTATCTGAGGATATTTTGTTTTTCCCCGTAGGCCCCAATGAGGTCCCGAATGTCCCTTTAAATTTTCTTCAAAAAAAGTGTTTCCAACCTGGTGAATCAAAAGAAAGGTTTAACTCTGGGAGGTGTGTCCACATATTACTAAGCAGTTTCACACGTAGCTTCTTTTTAGTTTTAATCTTGGAATAATCAATTTTCCTTCACAGGAAACAATATGCTCTCAAATCTCCCTTCACAGATTCTACAAAAAGAGTGCTTCAAAAGTGCTGTATCCAAAGAAAGGTTTAACTATGTGAGATGAATCCACACACCAAGAGAGTTTCACAGATAGATTCTTTCTACTATTTATCTGGTGATATTCAGTTTTTCCACATAGGCCTCAATGGGCTCCCAAATGTGTCTTTGCAGATTTGTCAAAAATAGTGTTGCCAACCTACTTGATCAAAATAAAGATTTATCTCTGTAAGATAAATCCACACATTACAAAGCTATTTTACACGTAGCTTCTTTCTAGTTTATATCTGAAAACATTCTGATTTTACTTGTAGGCCTCAATGGGTTCCCAAGTGTCCCTCCACTGATTCTCCAAAAATAATTTTTCCAACCTGCTGAATCAAAAGAAAGGTTTAACTCTATGAGATGAATCCACACATAGCAAAGCAGTTTCACAGGTAGCTTCTTACTAGTTTTATCTGGGGGTAGTCAGTTTTTCTCCATAGGCATAAATTGACACCCAAATGTCCCTTCACAGATTCTCCAAAAAGAGAGTTTTCAACCTGCTGAATCAAAAGAAAGTTTTAACTCTGTGAGATAAATCCACACATCATGAAAGAGTTTCACAGATAGCTTTTTTCTAGTTTTCATCTAGGTGTGTTCTGTTTTTCCCCATAGGCCCTAAAGGGCTCTGAAATATCCCTTTGCAGTTACTCCAAAAAGAAAGTTTCCAACCTGCTGAATCAAAAGAAAGGCTTAAATCTGTGAGATGAATACACACATCAAAAAGCAGTTTCACAGACAGCTTCTTTCTAGGTTTTTTTTTTTTCTGGGGATATTTGGTTTTCCCCCATAGAACACAATGGGCTCCAAAATGTCTCTTTGCAGATTCTCCAAAAAGAGTGTTTCCAATTTTTTTGAATCAAAAGAAAGTTTTAACTCTGTATGACGAATGCACACATTACAAATCAGTTTCAAAGATAGCTTCTTTCTAGTTTTTTATTTGAAATATTTGGTTTTGCCCCGTAGAAATCACTGGGCTCCCAAATGGCCCTTTTCAGCTGCTCGAAAAATAGCTTTTCCAACCTACTGAATTGAAAGAAAGGTTTAACTCTGTGAAATGAATCCACACTTCACAGAGCAGTTTCACAGATAGTTTGTTTCTAGTTTTTATCAGGAAAAATTTGTTTTTTCCCCGTAGGCCTCAATGGGCTCCCAAATGCCCCTTACCTGATTCTCCAAAAAGAGGTTTTCAAAGTGCTGAATCAAAAGACTCGTTTAACTCTGTGAGAAGAATCCACACTTCACAAAGCTGTTTTGCAGATAGCTTTTTTCTACTTTTTATCTGGGGATTTTGGATTTCGCCCCATAGACCTCAAAGGGCTTCCAAATGTATCCTTGTATGTTCTCCAAAATAAGTGTTTCCAATATGCTGAACAGAAAGAAAGGTTTATCTCTGTGAAAAGAATCCACACCTCAAAAAACCATTTCACTGATACCTTCTTTCTAGTTTTTCTCTGAGGACATTCGATTTTGCACCACAGGCTTCACTGGGCTCACAAATGTCCCTTTGCAGATTTTACAAGAAGAGTATTACCAACCTGGTGAATCAGTAGAAAGTTTAACCATTCTGTGATGAATCCACAAATCACAAAGCAGTTTCAGAGCTAGATTCTTTCTTCTTTTTATAGGGGAATATTCAGTTTTCCCCATTGGTCTCAATGCACTCTAAAATGTCCCTTGCAGATTCTCTAAAAAGAGTGCTACCAATCTGCTGAATCAAAAGAAAAAGTTAGCCATATGAGATGAATTCACACATCACAAAGCAGTTTCACAGATAGCTTCTTTCTTGGTTTAATTTCTGGATATTCAGTTTTTCCACATAGGTCTCAATGGGCTCTCAAATGTCCCTTCATAGATTCTCCAAAAACAGTGTTTTCAACAGACTGTATCAAAAAAAAGTTTATCTGTGAGATGCATACTTTCACCTCAAAGCAGTTTCACAAATAGCTTCTTTCTAGTTTTTATATGTGGAAATTCAGTTTTTCCCCATAGGCCTTAATAGACACCCAAAAATGCCTTTGCAGATACTCCAAAAAGAGTATTTCCAACCTGCTGAATCCAAAGAAAAGTTTAACTCTGTGAGATGAATCCACACATCACAAAGCAGTTTCACAGATAGCTTCTTTCCAGTTTTTATCTAAGGATATTGGTTTTTTTCTGTAGGCCTCAATGGCCTCCCAAATGTCACTTCACATATTCTACAAAAAGAGTGTTTTCAACCTGATGAATCAAAAGACAGTTTACCTCTTCGAGATTAATCCACATCTCACAAATCAGCTTCACAGTTAACTTCTTTCTAGTTTTTATCTGGGGATATTCTGTTTTTCTCCAAAGGCCTCAGTGGGCTGCCAAATATGACTTCGTATATCCTCCACAAAGAGTGTTTCTAACTGCTGAATCAAAAGAAAGGTTTAACTCTGTGAGTTGAATTCAAACATCACAAAGCATTTTCACAGATAGATTCTTTCTAGTTTTTATCTGGGGATATTTAGTTATTCCCCATAGATCTCAACGGAATCCAAAATGTTCCTTTGCAGACTGTCCAAAAAGAGGGTTTCCAACTTGGTGAATCAGAAGAAAGTTTTAAATCTGTGAGATGAATCCACACATCACAAAGCAGTTTCACAGATAGCTTCTTTCTAGTCTTTATCTGATGATAATCCATTGTTTCCTCATAGGCCTCAAAGGACTCCTGAATGTCCCTTCACAGAGTCTCCAAAAAGAGTGTTTTCAACCTCCTGAATCAAACAAAAGCTTTACATTTGTGAGATGAATCCCCACATCACAAAGCAGTTTCATGGATAGCTATTTTGTACTTTGTATCTGTGGATATTCAGTTTGTCCTTATAGGCCTCAATTGGCTCCCAAATGTCCCTTTGCAGATTCTCCTAAAAGAGCACTTCCAACCTGCTGAATCAAAAGAAATTGTAACTCATTGAGTTACAATTTATTTGTTGAGTCAACAAATAAAAACAAGTTTCAGGGATAGCTGCTTTCTAGTTTTATCTGGCATATTTGGTTATTTCCTGTAGACAAAAATGGGCTCTAAAATGTCCCTTTGCAGATTCTACAAAAGAGTTGTTTTAACCTGCTGAAACAAAAGAAAGATTTAACTCTGTGAGATGAATCCACACATCACAAAGCAGTTTCTCAGATAGTTTTTTTCTAGTTTTTCTCTGGGGCTATTCAATTTTATCACATAGACCTCAATGGGCCCTTAAATGTCCTTTCAGAGATTCTCCAAAAAGAGTGTTTCCAAACTGCTGAATCAAAATGAAGGTTGAACTATGTGTCAATAATCCAAACATCGAAAAGCAGTTTCACAGATAGCTTCCATCTATTTTTTTTTATCTGGAGATGTTCGGTTTTTACCCATAGGCCTCAATGGGCTCCAACATATCTTTTTGCAGATTCTACAAAAAGAGTGTTTCCAACCTGCTGAATCAAAAGAATGGTTTAACTCTGTGAGATGAATCCATACATCATGAAGCAGTTTCCCAGGTAGCCTGTCTCCAGTTTTTATCTAGAGATATTCAGTTTTTCCCCACAGGCCACCATGGTCTCCCAAATGTCTCTCCCCAGAATTTCCATAAAGAGTTTTTCCAACCTGCTGAATCAAAGGAAACCTTTAACCTGTGAGATGAATCCACATATCACAAAGCATTTTGACAGATAGCTTCTTTCTTGTTTTTATCTGGGAATATAGGTTTCCACACAGGCTTCCATGGGCTCCCAAATGCCCCATTCTACAATAGAAGGGTTTCCAACCTGCTGAATTAAGAGATAAGTTTATTTCTGTGAGATGAATCCACGTATCACAAAGCAGTTACACAGATAGTTTTATTGTAGTTTTATTGGGGGATATTCTCTTCTTCCCCTTAGGCCTCAACGGGCTCCCAATTGTCCCACTGAAGATTCTTTAAAAAGTGTTTCCAACCTGCTGAATCAAGAGATACATTTACCTCTGTGAGATGAATCCACACATCACAAAGCAGTTTCACAGATAGCTCCCTTCTAGATTTTATCTGGGAATATTCAGTTTTTCCCCTTAGACCTCCATGGGCTTCCTAATGTCCCTTTGCAGATTCTCCAAAAAGGGTGTTTCAATCTTGCTGAATCAAAAGAGAGGTGTAACTCTGTGAGATGAATCCACTTATCACAAAGCCGTTTCACAGATAAATTCTTTCTAGTTTTTACCTCAGGATATTCAGTTTTTCTTGATAAGGCTCAATGGGCTCCCAAATATCCCTCACAGATTGTTCAAAAAGAGTGTTTCCCTCCTGCTGAATCAAAAGAAAAGTTTTGCTCTGTGAGATGAATCCACCCAACACAAAGCAGTTTCAATGTTAGCTTATTTCTAGTTTTTATGTGGGGACATTAAGTTTTTACCAATAGGGCTCCATGGGTTCCTAAATGTCCCTTCCCAGATACTACAGAAAGAGAGTTTCCATCTCTTGGATCAAAAGAATGGTTTAATTCTATGAAATGTATCCACACATCACGAAGCAGTTTCACAAAAATATTCTTTCTAGTTTTAATCTGGGAATATTCACATTTTTCCCTGCAGGGCTCAAAGGGCAGTGAAATGTACCTTTGCAAATTTAAGAATTAGAGTGTTTCCAACATGCTAAGTCACAAAAAAAAGTTTAACTCTGTAAGATGAATTTACATATCATGAAGCAGTTTCACAGATAACTTCTTTCTCGTTTTTATCTGGGGATATTCAGTTTTTCTTCATAGGCCTCAAATGGCTCCCAAATATAACTTAGAGGGTACTACAAAAAGAAAGTTTTCAACCTGCTGAATCAAAAGAAATGTTTATGTCTGTGAGATGAATCCATACATCAAAAAGCAGTATCACAGATAGTGTCTTTCTAGATTTTACGTGGGGATATTCAGTTTTAAACCATGGGCCTCAATGGGCTGAAAAATGTTCCTTCTCAGATTCTCCAAAAATAATATTTTCAACCTACTGAATCAAAAGAAACATTTCACTCTAAGAGATTTATCCACAAATCACAAAGCAGTTTCACAAACAGCTTCTTTCTAGTTTTTACCTGGGGATACTTCGTTTTTCTTCATAGGCCTCAAAGGGCTCCCAAATATCTCTTCACATATTCTACAAAAAGAGTGTTTGTAACCTGCTGAATCACAGGAAATTTTAACTCTCTGAGATGAATCCACACATCACAAATCAGTTTTGCAGATAGTTTCTTCTAGTTTTTATCTGGGGATATTCCATTTTTCCACATAGGCCTCAATGGGACACAAAATAACCCTTCACAGATTCTCCAAAAAGATGGCTTCTGACCTGCTGAACCAAAGGAAGGTTTAACTTTGTGAGATGAATCCACACATCACAAAACCGTGTCAGAGATAATTTCTTTTTAGTCTTTATCTGGAGATATTCAGCTTTACTGCATAGGACTCAATGGGCTCCCAAATGTCCCTTCGCAGATTCTCCAAAAAGATTATTTTCAATGTGCTGTATCAAAAGGCAGGTTTAACTCTGAAATGCATCAACACATCACTAAGGAGTTTTATAGACAGCTTTTTCTGAGTTTTTATCTGGGGATATTCAGTTTTTCCCAATAGGATTCAAGGGCTCACAAATGTCCCTTCACAGAATACCCAAAAAGAGTTTCCAACCTGCTGAATCAAAATGAAGCTTTAACTCTGTTAGTCCAGCCCACACATCACAAAACAGTTTCACAGAAAGCTGTTTTCTAGTTTTTATCTGGGGATATTCGGTTTTTCCACATAGGCCTCAAAGGGCCTTTAAATATACCTTCAAAGATTCTCCATAAAGAGTGTTTCCAACATGCTGTATTAAAAAAACGGTCAAACTCTATAAGATGAATCCAGACATCACAAAGCAGTTTCACAGATAGCTTACTTCTAGTTTTTATCTGGGGATGTTCTCTTGTTCCACATAGGCCACAATGGTCTCCAAAATATTTCTTCGCACATTCAACAATTAGACGGTTTCCAACCTAATGAATTACAAGAAAGTTTTAACTCTGAGAGTTGAATCCACACATCACAAAGCAGTTTCACAGATAGCTTCTTTCTAGTTTTTATCCAGGGATGTACAATTTTTCCCTGTAGGCTTCAAAGGCCTCCCAAATGTCCCTTCACAGATTCTCCAAAAAGAGTGTTTTCAACCTGTTGTATGAAAAGAAAGGTTTAAGTATGTGAGACGAATCCACATATCACAAAAAAGTTTCACTGATAGCTTCTTTTAGTTTTTATGTGGGTATATTTGGTTTTCCCTGATAGGCCTCAGTGGGCTCCCAAATGTCTCTTCACAGATTCTCCAAAAACAGTGTTTCCAACCTGCTGAATCAGAAGAAAGTTTTATCTCTATGAGATTAATCTACACAACCCAAAGCAATTTCACAGATAGCTTCTTTCTAGTTCTTACCTGAGGATATTTTGTTTTTCTCCATAGGGCTAAATGGGCTTTTAAATATTCCTTTGCAGACTGTTTAAAAGAGTGTTTCCCACCTTCTGAATCAAAAGAAAGGTTTAATCTGTGAGATGAATCCACATATACCAAAACAGTTTCCCAAATAGCATTTTTCTAGTTTTTATCTGTGGATATTTACTTTTTCCCCATAGGCCACAATGGGCTCCCAAATGTCCCTTCAAAGAGTCTATAAAAAGGGTATTTCCACCCTGCTGAATCAAAAGAAAGGTTTAACTCGGTGAGATAAATGGACACATCACAATGCGTTTTCACAGATAGATTCTTTCTAGTTTTTGTCAAGGGATATTCTGTTTCTCCCCATAGGCTTCAATGGGCCCCCAAATGTTCCATCCCAGGTTCTCCAAAAACTGTGCTTTCAACCTGCTGAATTAAAAGAAAGTTTTAACTCTGTGAGATGAATTTACACATCACAAAGCAGTTATACAGATTGCTTCTTTCCAGTTTTAAATGGGAATATTTATTTCCTTTCCCAAGGATAAAAAAGAATCCAAAATGTCCTTTCACAGATTCTCCAAAAAGAGTGTTTCCAAGCTACTGAATAAAAAGAAAAGTTTAATTCTGTGAGATGAATTCACACATCACAAAGCAGTTTCACAAATAGCTTCTTTCTGGGGGTATTAAGTGTTTCCTCCCTTGGCTTCAATGGGCTCCCAAATGTCCCTTAGCAGATTCTCTACAAGGAGTGTTACCAACCTGCTGAATCAAATTAAAGTTTTAGCTCTATGAGATAAATCCACACATCACAACATAGTTTTACAGATAGCCGGTTTCTAGGTTTTGTCTAAAAATATTCGGTTTTCCCTCATAGACCTCAATGGGCTCCCAAAAGTTATTTCACAGATTCTCCAATTAGAGTGTTTCCAACCTGCTGAATCAAAAGAAAGGTTTAACTCCTTGACGTGAATCCACACAAGAGAAAGACCTGTCACAGACAGCTTCTTTCTAGTTTTTTTCTGGGGATATTTGTATTTTATCCACAGGTTTCAATGGACTCACTCATGTCCCTTCACAGATTCTACAAAAAGAGTATTTAAAACCTTCTGGATCAGTAGAAAGATTTAATTCTGAGAGATGAATCCACCTGTCACAAAGCAGTTTCAAAGATAGCTTCTTTCCAGTTTTTATCTGGGGATAATCTTTTTTTCCCCATAGGCTTGAATGGGCTCCCAAATGTCCCATCCCAGATTCTACAAAAATAGTTTTTCCAATCTGATGAATCAAAAGAAAAGTTTAACTCTGTGAGATGAATCCACCCAACCCAAAGCAGTTTAACATATAGCTTCTTTCTAATTTTTATCTGGGGATATTTTGTTCTTCCCAATGGGCGTCAATGGTCTCCAAAATGTCCCTTTGAAGATACTACAAAAAGAGGGTTTCTAACCTGCTGGATGAAAAGAAATTTTTAACAAAGTGGGATGAATCCACCAAACACCAAGCTGTTTCACAGATAGCTTCTTCCTGGTTTTTATCTTGGGATATTAATTTTTTACTAATATGCCTCAATGGACTTCCAAACGTCCATCCCAGATTATATGAAAAGAATGTTTCCAACCTTCTAGATCAAAAGAATGGTTTAATCTATGAGATTAATCCACAAATCACAAAGCAGTTTCACAGATAGTTTCTATCTAGTTTTAATCTGGGGATATTAACTTTTTCTACAAGGCATCAAAGGGCTCCCAAATGTCCCTTTGCAGATTCAAAAATTAGCATATACCCAATCTGCTGAAACACTAGAAAGTTTTACCTCTGTGAGATGAATCCATATAACACAATGCAGTTTCACAGATAGGTTCTTTCTAATTTTTTTCTGGGGATATTCAGTTTTTTTTAATAGGGTTTAAATGGCTCCAAAATATCCCTTAGTAAATCTACAAAAAGAGTGTTTATAACCTGCTGAACCAAATGAAAGATTTAACTCTGTGAGAAAACCCAAACATCACAAACCAATTTCACAGATAGCTTCTTTCTATTTTTTATCTGGGGATATTCAGTTTTTTTCATAGGCATTAATGGGCTCCAAAATATCCCTTCATAGATTCTACAAAAAGTGTGGTTTTTAATTTGGTGAATACAAAGAAAGGTTTACCTCTGTGAGATGAATCCACAGATCACAAAGCAGTGTCACAGATAGCTTCTTTATAGTTTTAATTTGAGGATACTCTGTTTTCCCCTTAGGACACAATGGGCTCCCAAATATCCCTTTGCAGATTCTGCAAAAAGAGTGTTTCCACCCTGCTGAATCAAAAAAAAATATTTATTCCTGTGACATGAACCCCCACAGCACAAAGCAGTTTCACAGATTGCTTCTTTCTAGTTATTATCTGGGGATATTCCGTTTTTCCCCGTAGGCCTCAATAGGCTTCCAAATGTCCTTCTGCAGGTTGTCTAAAAAGAGCATGTCCAACCTGCTGTGTCAAAAAAATGGTTTAATTCAGTGAGATGAATTCACATGTCACAAAACAGTTTCACAGATAGCTTCTTTCTAGTTTTTATGTGAGGATATTAGTTTTAACCAATGAGCCTCAATGGGTTGTCAAATGTTCCTTCACAGATTCTCAAAAATCTGCTGTATGAAAAAAAAAGGTTTAACTCTGTGAGATCCATCCACACATCACAAAGCAGTTTCACAGATAGCTTCCTTCTAGTTTTTATCTGAGGATATTTGGTTTTACTCCATAAGTCTCAAAGGGCTCCAAACTGTCTCTTCACACATACTACAAAAAGAGTGTTTTTAACCTGCTGAATCAAAAGAAAGTTGTAACTCTGTGGATGAATCCACACATCACAAAGCAGTTTCACAGATAGCTTCTTTCTAGTTTTTATCTGGGGATAGTCTGTTTGTCCCCACAGGCCTCAATGGGCTCCCAAATGTGCCTTTGGGGATTCTCCAAAAAGATTACTTTCAATCTGCTTTATCAAAAGAAAGATTTAAATCTGTGATATCCATCTGCACATCACAAAGCAGTTTCACAGATACCTTCCTTCTAGTTTTTATCTGGGGATATTTGGATTTACTTTGTAAGCCTCAAAGGATTCCAAAATGTCTCCTCACACATACTACAAAAAGAGTGTTTCCAACCTGCTGAATCAAAAGAAAATTGTAACTCTGTAAGATGAGTCCACACATCACAAAGCAGTTTCACAGAAAGCTGCTTTCTAGTTTTTATTTAGGGATATTCATTTTTTCCCCCTAAGTCTCAATGGGGTTCTAAATATCCCTTTGGAAAAAAAAAGAGTGTCTCCAACCTGCTGAATGAAAAGATCGCTATAACTCTATCAGATGAATGTACACATCACAAAGATGTTTCACAGATAGCTTCTTTCTAGTTTTAATCTGGGGATATTCTCTTGTTCCTCATAGGCCAAAATGAGCTCCAACATGTCCCTTCACACATTCAACAATTAGAGTGTTTCTAACCTGCTGTATTGCAATAAACATTTAACTCTGTGATTTGAATCCATACATAACAAAGCAGTTCCACAGATAGTTTCTTTCTAGTTTTTATCATGGGTTATTCAGTTTTTACACATAGGCTTCAATGGACTCCGAAACATCCCTCCACAGATTCTACAAAAAGATTGTCTATAACCTGCTGTACCAAAATAAAGGTTTAACTCTCTGAGATGGATCCACACTTCACAAAGCAGTTTCCTCGATAGGTTCTTTCTAGTTTTTATCTGAGGCTATTTTGTTATTCTTTGTAGGCATCAATGGGCTCCAAAATGTACTTGGTAGATTCTCCAAAAAGAGTGCTACCAACCTGCTGGATCAGAAGAAAAGTTTTCCTCTGTTAGATGAATCCACACAACACAAAGTGTTTCACAAATATCTTCTTTTGAGTTGTTTAACTGGGGAATTTCTGGTTTTGCTCATAAGCCTCAATGGGCTCTTAAATGTACCTTTGTAGATTCTATGAAAAGAGAGTTTCCAACATGCTGGATCAAAAGAAAGGCTTAACTCTGTGATATGAATCCACACATTGGAGAGAAGTTTCACAGAGCTTCTTTCTGGTTTTAATCTGGTGATATTCTGTTTTTCTCCATAGGCTTCAATGGGATCCCAACTGTCCTTTTGCAGATGGTTCAAAAAGAGTGTTGCCTACTGGCTGAATCAAAACAAAGGTTTAAAATTTGTGATGAATCTACACATCACAAAACTGTTTCACAGTTAGTTTCTTTCCAGTGTTTATCAGGGATATTCAGTTTTACCAGATAGGCTTAAAGGGCTCCCCAATGTCCCTTCACATATTATTTAAAAAGAGTATTTTCAATTTTGTTGATCTTTTCAAAAAAACCGGTTCCTGGATTCATTGATTTTTTCAAGGGTTTCTTGTGTCTCTATCTCCTTCAGTTATGCTCTGATCTTAGTTATTTCTTGCCTTCTGCTAGCTTTTGAATGTGTTTGCTCTTGCTTCTCTAGTTCTTTTAATTGTGATGTTAGGGTGTCAATTTTAGATCTTTCTTGCTTTTTCTTGTGGTCATTTGGTGCTATAAATTTCCCTCTACACACTGCTTTGAATGTGTCCCAGAGATTCTGGTATGTTGTGTCATTGTTCTCATTGGTTTCAAAGAACATCTTTATTTCTGCCTTCATTTCGTTATGTACCCAGTAGTCATTCAGGAGCTGGTTGTTCAGTTTCCATGTAGTTGATTGGTTTTGAGTGAGTTTCTTAATCCTGAGATCTAGTTTGATTGCACTGTGGTCTGAGAGACAGTTTGTTGTAATTTCTGTTCTTTTATGTTTGCTGAGGACTGCTTTAATTCCAACTATGTGGTCATTTTTGGAATAGGTGTGGTGTGGTGCTGAGAAGAATATATATTCTGTTGATTTGGGGTGGAGAGTTCTGTAGACGTCTATTAGGTCCACTTGGTGCAGAGCTGAGTTCAATTCCTGGATATCCTTGTTAAATTTCTGCCTCGCTGATCTGTCTGATGTTGACAGTGGGGTATTAAAGTCTCCTATTATTGCTGTGTGGAGTCTAAGTCTCTTTGTAGGTCTCCAAGGACTTGCTTTATGAATCTGGGTGCTCCAGTATTGGGTGCATATATGTTTAGGATAGTTAGCTCTTCTTGTTGAATTGATCCCTTTAACATTATGTAATGGCCTTCTTTGTCTCTTTTGATCTTTGTTGGTTTAAAGTCTGTTTTATCAGAGACTAGGACTGCAACCCCTACTTTTTTTGTTTTCATTTGCTTGGTAGATCTTCCTCCATCCCTTTATTTTGAGCCTATATGTGTCTCTGCATGTGCGATGGGTTTCCTGAATACAGCACACTGATGGGTCTTGACTCTATCAAACTTGCCAGACTGTGTCTTTTAATTGGAGCATTTAGCCCATTTACATTTAAGGTTAGTATTATTTTGTGTGAATTTGATCCTGTCATTAAGATGTTAGCTGGTTATTCTGCTCATTAGTTGATGCAGTTTATTCCTAGGCTCAATGGTATTTACAATTTGCATGTTTTGGCAGTGGCTGGCACCTGTTGTTCCTTTCCATGTATAGTGCTTCCTTCAGGAGCTCTTTAGAGCAGGCCTGGTGGTGGCAAAATTTCTCAGCATTTGCTTCTCTGTAACGTATTTTATTTCTCCTTCACTTATGAAGCTTAGTTCGGGTGGATATGAAATTCTGGATTAAAATTCTTCTCTTTGAATATTGGCCCCCACACTCTTCTGGCTTGTAGAGATTCTGCTGAGACATCAGCTGTTAGTCTGATGGGCTTCCCTTTGTGGGTAACCTGACCTGTCTCTCTGGCTTCTCTTAACATTTTTTCCTTCATTTAAAATTTGGTGTTTCTGACAATTATGTGTCTTGGAGTGGCCCTCCTCCAATAGTATCTTTGAGGCATTCTCTGTATTTCCTGAATTTCAATGTAGGCCTGCCTTCTTAGATTGGAGAAATTCTACTGGATAATATCCTGCAGAGCGTTTTCCAACTTGGTTCCATTCTCCCCATCACGTCCAGGTACACCAATCAGATTTGGTCTTTTCACATAGTCCCATATTTCTTCGAAGATTGTTCATTTCTTTTTGTTCTTTTTTCTCACAATTTCTCTTCTCACTAGATTTCATTCATTTGATCTTCCATCAATGACACCCTTTCTTCCAGTGAAAAGAAAGGTAAAATTCTGTGAGTAGAACGCACACATCACAAAGAAGATTCTCAGAATGATTCTGTCTAGTTTTTATGCGAAGATATTTCCTTTTCTACCATTGGCCTCAAATCGCTTGAAATCTGCATCTGAAAATTCCACAAAAAGAGAGTTTCAAATCTGTTCTGTCTAAAGGAAGGTTCATCACTGTGAGTTGATTACACAAAACACAAAGAAGTTACTGAGAATTCTTCTGTCTAGCATTGAATGTAGAAATACCATTTCTGTAGGGGTGGGTTGCCTCTACACACCTGTGGGTGTTTCTCGTAAGGTGGGACGAGAGATTTGGAAAAGAAAAAGACACAGACACAAAGTATAGAGAAAGAAAAAAGGGGACCTGGGGAACCAGCGTTCAGCATATGGAGGATCCCGCCAGCCTCTGAGTTCCCTTAGAATTTATTGATCATCTGTGGGTGTTTCTCAAAGAGGGGGATGTGTCAGGGTCACAAGACAATTGTGGGGAGAGGGTCAGCAGACAAACACGTGAACAAAGGTCTTTGCATCATAGACAATGTAAAGGATTAAGTGCTGTGCTTTTAGATATGCATACACATAAACATCTCAATGCTTTACAAAGCAGTATTGCTGCCCGCAGGTCCCACCTCCAGCCCTAAGG
The DNA here is from genome assembly GCF_000001405.40 of Homo sapiens. Taxonomy (NCBI): domain Eukaryota; kingdom Metazoa; phylum Chordata; class Mammalia; order Primates; family Hominidae; genus Homo; species Homo sapiens. The sequence continues at coordinate 41,713,762 of NC_000010.11, read as the reverse complement.
CGGTTTTTCCCTATCTCAGTAGATGGAGCATACAATCGGGTTTTATACCGAGACATTCCATTGCCCAGGGACAGGCAGGAGACAGATGCCTTCCTCTTGTCTCAACTGCAAGAGGCATTCCTTCCTCTTTTACTAATCCTCCTCAGCACAGACCCTTTACGGGTGTCAGGCTGGGGGACGGTCAGGTCTTTCCCTTCCCACGAGGCCATATTTCAGACTATCACATGGGGAGAAACCTTGGACAATACCTGGCTTTCCTAGGCAGAGGTCCCTGCGGCCTTCTGCAGTTTTTGTGTCCCTGGGTACTTGAGATTAGGGAGTGGTGATGACCCTTAAGGAGAGTGCTGCCCTCAAGCATCTGTTTAACAAAGCACATCTTGCACCGCCCTTAATCCATTTAACTCTGAGTTGACACAGCACACGTTTCAGAGAGCACGGGGTTGGGGGTAAGGTTATAGATTAACAATCTCAAGGCAGAAGAATTTTTCTTAGTACATAACAAAATGGAGTCTCCTATGTCTACTTCTTTCTACACAGACACAGTAACAATCTGATCTCTCTTGCTTTTCCCCACAATTTCCAACGAAGGCAACAAAGGGGTCCAAATATCCACTTGCAGACATTACAAACAGAGTGTTGAAAAACTGCTCTATGAAAAGAAAGGTTAATCTCAGTGAGTCGAACGTGCACATCAGAAAATAGTGTCTGAGAATGCTTCTCTCTAGTATTTCTAGGAAGATATTTAATTTTCTACCATTGTCCCAAAAGCGCTTGAAATCTACACTTGAAATTCCACAAAAAGAGAGTTTCAAATCTGCTCTATCTAAAGGAAGGTTCAACTCTGAGAGTTGAATACACACAACACAAAAAAATTACTGAGAATTCTTCTGTCTAGCATTATATGAAGAACTAACTTTTCCAACAAAGCTTTCAAGGAGGTCCAAATATCGACTTGCAGACTTTACAAACAGAGTGTTTCCAAACTACTCTATGAAAAGAAAGGTTAAACTCTGTGAGTTGAATGCACACATCACAAAGTACTTTCTGAGAATAATTCTGTCTAGTTTTTATACGAAGATATTTCCTTTTCTACCATTAGCCCCAAACCACTTGAAATCTCCACTTGCAAATTCCACAAAAAGAGTGTTTCAAACCTGCTCTGTCTAAAGGAAGGTTAAACTCTGTGAGTTGAGTACAGACAACACAAAGAAGTTACTAAGAATTCCTCTGTCTAGCATTATACGAAGAAACCCTGCTTCCAACGAAGGCCTCAAAGAGGTCCAAATATCCACTTGCAGACTTTAGAAACAGAGTGTTTAAACTGCTCTATGAAAAGAAAGGTTAAACTCTGTGAGTGGAACGTACACATCACAAAGTAGTTTCTGAGAATGATTGTATCTACTTATTATACGAAGATATATCCTTTTCTACCATTGGCCTCAAACTCTTGAAATCTCCACTTGCAAACTGCACAAAAACAGTGTTTCAAATCTGCTCTGACTAAAGGAAGTTTCAACTGTGTGAGTTGAATACACGCAACACAAAGAAGTTACTGAGAATTCTTCTGTCTAGCATTATATGAAGAAATCCCGTTTCCAACGAAGGCCTCAAAGAGGTCCAAATATCCACTTGCAGACTTTACAAACAGAGTGTTTCCAAACTAATCTATGAAAAGAAAGGTTAAATTCTGTGAGTTGAATGCACACATCAAAAAGCAGTTTCTGAAAATGATTCTTTCTAGTTTTTATACGAAGATAATTCCTTTTCTACCACTGTCCTCAAACTGCTTGAAATCTCCACCTGAAAATTCCACAAAAAGAGAGTTTCAAATCTGCTGTGTCTAAAGGAAGGTTCAACTCCGTCAGTTGAATACACACAACACCAAGAAGTTACTGAGAATTCTTCTGTCTAGCATTATATGAAGAAGTCCCGTTTCCAACGAAGGGCTCAAACAGGTCTAAATATCCACTTGCACATTTTACAAAGAGAGTGTTTAAAAACGGCTCAATTAAAAGAAAGGTTAAACCCTATGAGTTGAATGCACACATCACAAAGTAGTTTCTGAGAATGATTCTCTCTAGTTTTTATAGGAAGATATTTCCCTTTCTACAATTGGCCACAAATCACTTGAAATCTCCACATGAAAATTCCACAAAAAGAGAGTTTCGAATCTGCTGTGTCTAAAGGAAGGTTGAACTCTATGAGTTGAATACACACAACACCAAGAAGTTACTGAGAATTCTTCTGTCTAGCATTATATGAAGAAGTCCCGTTTCCAACGAAGGGCTCAAACAGGTCTAAATATCCACTTGCACACTTTACAAAGAGAGTGTTTACAAACTGCTCAATTAAAAGAAAGGTTAAACCCTGTGAGTTGAATGCACACATCACAAAGTAGTTTCTGAGAATGATTCTCTCTAGTTTTTATAGGAAGATATTTCCTTTTCTACAATTGGCCACAAATCACTTGAAATCTCCACATGAAAATTCCACAAAAAGAGAGTTTCGAATCTGCTGTGTCTAAAGGAAGGTTGAACTCTATGAGTTGAATACACACAACACAAAGAAGTTAGTGAGAATTATTCTGTCTAGCATTACATGAAGAAATACCGTTTCAAACAAAGGCCTCAAAGAGGTCTAAATATCCACTTGCAGACATTACACACAGAGTGTTTACAAACTCCTCTATGAAAATAAAGGTTAAACTCTGTGAGTTGAATACACACATAGCAAAGTAGTTTCTGAGAATGATTCTGTCCAGTTTTTACAAGAAGATATTTCTATTTCAAAGACTGGCCACAAATCGCTAGAAATCTCCACTTGCAAATTCCACAACAACGAGTTTTTCAAAACTGCTCTGTCTAAAGGAAGGTTCAACTCTGTGAGTTGAATACACACAACACAAAGTAGTTACTGAGAATTCTTCTGTCTAGCATTATATGAAGAAATCCCGTTTCCAACGAAGGCCTCAAAGAAGTCCAAATATGCACTTGCAGACTTTACAAACAGAGTGTTTCCAAACTGCTCTATGAAAAGAAAGGTTAAACTCTGTGAGTTGAATGCACACATCACAAAGTAGTTCTTTAGAATGATTCTGTCTAGTTTTTATACGAAGATACTTCCTTTTCTACAATTGGCCTAGAAGCGCTTGAAATCTGCACTTGCAAATTCCACAAAAAGAGTGTTTCAAATCTGCTCTGTGTAAAGGAAGTTTCAAAACTGTGAGTTGAACAGACACAACACAAAGAAGTTACTGAAAATTCTTCTGTCTAGCATTATCTGAAGAAATCCCTTTTCCAACGAAGGCCTCAAAGAGATCCAAATAACCACTTGTAGACTTTACAGACAGAGTGTTTCCAAACTGCTCAATTAAAAGAAAGGTTAAACTCTGTGAGTTGAACGCACACATCACAAAGTAGTTTCTGAGAATGATTCTCTGTAGCTTTTATATGAAGATATTTACATTTCTAACATTGGCGTCAAATCGCTTGAAATCTCCACTTGCAAAAGCCACGAAAAGAGAGTTTCAAAACTGCTCTGTCTAAAGAAAGGTTCAACTCTGTGAGTTGAATACACACAACACAAAGAAGTTACTGAAAATTCTTCTGTCTAGCAATACATGGAGAAATCCCTTTTCCAAGGAAAGTGTCAAAAAGGTCCAAATATCCACTTGCAGATATTCCAAACAGAGTGTTTCCAAACTGCTCTATGAAAAGAAAGGTTAAACTCTGTGAGTTGAAAGCACACAACACAAAGTAGTTTCTGAGAATGATACTGTCTAGTTTTTATACGAAGATATTTCCTTTTCTACCATTGGCCTCAAATCGCTTGAAATCTCCACTTGCAAAAGCCACGAAAAGAGAGTTTCAAATCTGCTCTGTCTAAAGAAAGGTTCAACTCTGTGGGTTGAATACACACAACACAAAGAAGTTACTGAGAATTATTCGGTCTGGCAGTATATGAAGAAATCCGGTTTCCAACGAAGGCCTCAAAGAGGTCAAAATATCCGCTTGCAGACTTAACAAACAGAGTATTTCCAAATGGCTTCATGAAAAGAAAGGTTAAACTCTGAGAGTTGAACGCACACATCACAAAGTATTTTCTGAGAAAGATTTTGTCTAGTTTTAATACGAAGATATTTCCTTTTCTACCATTGTCCTCGAAGCGCTTCAAATCTGCACTAGCAAATTCCACAAAAAGAGTGTTTCAAATCTGCTCTCTCTAAAGAACGTTCAACTCTGTGAGTTGAATGCACACAACACAAAGAAGTTACTGAGAATTCTTCTGTCTAGCATTATAGGAAGAAATCCCATTTCCAACGAAGGGCTCAAAGAGGTCCATATATCCACATGCAGACATTACAAATAGAGTGTTTCCCAACTGCTCTATCAAAATAAAGGTTAAACTCTGTGAGGTGAACGCACACATCACAAACTAGTTTCTGCGAATGATTCTATGTAGTTTTAATGCGAAGATATTTCCATCTCTAAGAATGGCCTCAAACCTCTTGAAATCTCCAATTGCAAATTCCACAAAAAGAGTATTTCAAAACTTCTCTGGATAAAGTAATGTTCAATTCTGTGAGTTGAATACACACAACTGAAAGAAGTTACTGAGAATTCTTCTGTCTAGCAGTATATGAAGAAATCCCTTTTCCAATGAAGGCCTATAAGAAGTCCAAATATCTACTTGCAGACTTACAGACAGAGTTTTCCAAACTGCTCTATGAAAAGAAACGTTAATCTCTGTGAGTTGAATGCACACATCAAAAAGTAGTTTCAGAGAATGATTCTGTCTAGTTTATATATGAAGATATTACCTTTTCTACCATTGGCCTCAAATCGCTTGAAATCTCCACTTGCAAAAGCCACGAAATGAGTGTTTCATATCTGCTCTGTCTAAAGAAAGGTTCAACTCTGTGAGTTGAATAAAAACAACAGAAAGAAATTAGTGAGAATTCTTCCGTCTAGCATTATATGAACAAATCCCTTTTCCAACGAAGGGCTCACAGAGGTCAAATATCTACTTGCAGACTTTACAAACAGAGTGTTTCCAAACTGCTCTATGAAGAGAAAGGTTAAATTCTGTGAGTTGAACGCACACATCACAACGTAGTTTCTGAGAACGATTCTGTCTAGTTTTATACGAATATATTTCCTTTCTACCATGGGCCACAAATCGCTTGAAATCTCCACTTGCAAAGTACACAAGAACAGATTTTCGAATCTGCTGTGTCTAAAGAAAGGTTCAACTATGTGAGTTGAATCCACACAACACAAAGAAGTTACTGGGAAATCTCCTGTCTAGCATTATATGAAGGAAACCCGTTTCCAACGAAGGACACAAAGAGGCCCAAATATCCACTTGCAGACTTTACAAAAAGAGTATTTCCAAACTGTTCTAGGAAAAGAAAAGTTAAACTCTGTGAGTTGAACGCACACATCACAAAGTAGTTGCAGAGAATGATTCTGTCTAATTTTTACACGAAGATATTTCCATTTCAATGATTGGCCTCAAATCGCTTCAAATAGCCATTGGAAATTCCACAAACAGAGTGTTTTAAAACAGCTCTGTCTAAAGGAAGGTTCAACTCTGTTAGGTGAATACACACAACACAAAACAAGTTACTGAGAATTCTTCTATCTAACATTATATGAAGAAATCCCGTTTTCAACGAAGGCCTCAAAGAGGTCCAAATATCCACTTGCAGATTTCACAAACACAGTGTTTCCAAACTGCTCTATGAAAAGAAAGGTTAATCTCTGTGAGTTGAACGCACACATCACAAGGTAGTTTCTCAGAATGACTCTGTCTAGTTTTTATACAAAGATATTTCCATTTCTAAGACTGGCCTCAAATCCCTAGAAATCTCCATTAGAAATTCCACAAACAGAGTGTTTTAAAACTGCTCTGTCTAAAGGAAGGGTCAACTCTGTGATTTGAATGCACACAACACAAAGAAGTGACTGAGAATTCTTCTATCTAACATTGTATGAAGAAATCCCGTTTCCAACGAAGGCCTCAAAGAGGTCCAAATATCCTCCTGCAGACTTTACAAACAGAGTGTTTCCAAACTACTCTATGAAAAGAAAGGTTAAACTCTGTGAGCTGAACGCACACATCACAAAGTAGTTTCTGAGAATGATTCTGTGTAGTTTTTATACGAACATATTTACATTTCTAATATAGGTCTCAAATCGCTTGAAATATCCACTTGCAAGTTCCACAAACAGTGTGTTTCAACCCTGCTCTGTCTAAAGGAAGGTTCATCTCTCTGAGTTCAATACACACAACACAAAGAATTTACTGAGAATTCTTCTGTCTATCATTATATGAAAAAATCCCGTTTCCAATGAAGGCCTCAAAGAGGTAGAAATATCCACTTGCAGACTTTACAAATAGAGTGTTTCCAAACTGCTTTATAAAAAGAAAGGTTAAACTCTGTGAGTTGAACACACACATCACAAACTAATTTCTGAGAATGATTCTGTGTAGTTTTAATACAAAGATATTTCCTTTTCTACGATTGTCCTCAAATCCCTTGAAATCTCCACTTGCAAATTCCACAAAAAGAGTGTTTCAAAAATACCCTGAATAGACGAAGGTTCAACTTAGTGAGTTGAATGCACACAACACAAACAGTTACTGAGAATTCTTCTTTCTGTGAGTATATGAAGAAATCCCGTTTGCAACGAAGCCCTCACAGAAATCTAAATATCCACTTGCAGACCTTACAGACAGAGTCTTTCCAAACTGCTCTATGAAAAGAAAGGTTAATCTCCGTGAGTTGCACGCACACATCAGAAAGTAATTTCTGAGAATGATTCTCTCTAGTTTTTATATGAAGATATTTCCTTTTCTACCATTGGCCTCAAATCGTTTGAAACCTCCACATGCAAAAGCCACGAAAAGAGCGTTTCAAATCTGCTCTGTCTAAAGAAAGGTTCAACTCTGTTAGTTGAATACACACAACACAAACAAGTTACTGAGAATTCTTCTATCTAGCATTATATGAAGAAATCCCGTTTCCAACGAAGGCCTCAAAGAGGTCCAAATATCCTACTGCAGACTTTACAAAGAGAGTGTTTCCAAACTGCTCAATTAAAAGAAAGGTTAAACTCTGTGAGTGGAATGCACACATCACAAAGTAGTTTCTGAGAATGATTTTGTCTAGTTTTCATACGAAGATATTTCCTTTTCTACCATTGTCCTCGAAGAGCTTGAAATCTGCACTAGCAAATTACACAAAAAGAGTGTTTCAAATGTGCTCTCTCTAAAGGAAGGTTCAAATCTCTGAGTTGAATGCACCCAACACAAAAAGTGACTGAGAATACTTCTGTCTAGCATTATAGGAAGAAATCCCGTTTCCAACGAAGGCCTCAAAGAGGTCCAAATATCCACTTGCAGACTTTACAAATAGAGTGTTTCCAAACTGCTCTATGAAAAGAAAGGTTAAACTCTGTGAGTTGAACGCACACATCACAAGGTAGTATCTCAGAATGACACTGTCTAGTTTTTATACAAAGATATTTCCATTTCTAAGACTGGCCTCAAATCCCTAGAAATCTCCATTGGAAATTGCACAAACAGAGTGTTTGAAAACTGCTCTTTCTAAAGGAAGGTTCAACTCTGTTAGTTGAATACACACAACACAAACAAGTTACTGAGAATTCTTCTATCTAGCATTATATGAAGAAATCCCGTTTCCAACGAAGGCCTCAAAGAGGTCCAAATATCCTACTGCAGACTTTACAAAGAGAGTGTTTCCAAACTGCTCAATTAAAAGAAAGGTTAAAGTCTGTGAGTGGAACGCACACATCACAAAGTAGTTTCTGAGAATGATTTTGTCTAGTTTTAATACAAAGATATTTCCTTTCCTACCATTGTCCTCGAAGAGCTTGAAATCTGCACTAGCAAATTACACAAAAAGAGTGTTTCAAATGTGCTCTCTCTAAAGGAAGGTTCAAATCTCTGAGTTGAATGCACACAACACAAAGAAGTGACTGGGAATTCTTCTGTCTAGCATTATAGGAGGAAATCCCGTTTCCAACGAAGGCCTCAAAGAGGTCCTAATATCCACTTGCAGACTTTACAAAGACAGCGTTTCCAAACTGCTCTATGAAAAGAAACGTTAAACTCTGTGAGTTGAACGCACACATCACAAACTAGTTTCTGCGAATGATTCTGTGTAGTTTTAATTCGAAGATATTTCCATTTCTAAGATTGGCCTCAAATCCCTTGAAATCTCCACTTGCAAATTCCACAAAAAGAGTGTTTCAAAACTGCTCTGAATAAAGGAAGGTTCAACTCTGTGAGTTGAATGCACACAACAGAAAGTAGTAACTGAGAATTCTGCTGTCGGGCAGTATATGAAGAAATCCCGTTTGCAATGAAGGCCTCACAGAAATCTAAATATCCACTTGCAGACCTTACAGACAGAGTGTTTCCAAACTTCTCTATGAAAAGAAAGGTTAATCTCCGTGAGTTGCACGCACACATCACAAAGTAGATTCTGAGAATGATTCTGTCTAGTTTTTATACGAAGATATTTCCTTTTCTACAATTGGCCTCAAATCGCTTGAAATCTCCACTTGCAAAAGCAACGAAAGGAGAGTTTCAAATCTGCTCTGTCTAAAGAAAGGTTCAACTCTCTGAATTGAATACACACAACCCAAAGAAGTTACTGAGAATTCTTTGGTCTAGCAGTATATGAAGAAATCCCGTTTCCAACGAAGGCCTCAAAGAGGTCCAAATATCCACTTGCAGACTTTACAAATAGAGTGTTTCCAAACTGCTCTATGAAAAGAAAGGTTAAATTCTGTGAGTTGAATGCACACATCACAAGGTAGTATCTCAGAATGACACTGTCTAGTTTTTATACAAAGATATTTCCATTTCTAAGACTGGCCTCAAATCCCTAGAAATCTCCATTGGAAATTGCACAAACAGAGTGTTTGAAAACTGCTCTTTCTAAAGGAAGGTTCAACTCTGTTAGTTGAATACACACAACACAAACAAGTTACTGAGAATTCTTCTATCTAACATTATATGAAGAAATCCCGTTTCCAACGAAGGCCTCAAAGAGGTCCAAATATCCTACTGCAGACTTTACAAAGAGAGTGTTTCCAAACTGCTCAATTAAAAGAAAGGTTAAAGTCTGTGAGTGGAACGCACACATCACAAAGTAGTTTCTGAGAATGATTTTGTCTAGTTTTAATACAAAGATATTTCCTTTCCTACCATTGTCCTCGAAGAGCTTGAAATCTGCACTAGCAAATTACACAAAAAGAGTGTTTCAAATGTGCTCTCTCTAAAGGAAGGTTCAAATCTCTGAGTTGAATGCACACAACACAAAGAAGTGACTGGGAATTCTTCTGTCTAGCATTATAGGAGGAAATCCCGTTTCCAACGAAGGCCTCAAAGAGGTCCTAATATCCACTTGCAGACTTTACAAAGACAGCGTTTCCAAACTGCTCTATGAAAAGAAACGTTAAACTCTGTGAGTTGAACGCACACATCACAAACTAGTTTCTGCGAATGATTCTGTGTAGTTTTAATTCGAAGATATTTCCATTTCTAAGATTGGCCTCAAATCCCTTGAAATCTCCACTTGCAAATTCCACAAAAAGAGTGTTTCAAAACTGCTCTGAATATAGGAAGGTTCAACTCTGTGAGTTGAATGCACACAACAGAAAGTAGTAACAGAATTCTTCTGTCGGGCAGTATATGAAGAAATCCCGTTTGCAACGAAGGCCTCACAGAAATCTAAATATCCACTTGCAGACCTTACAGACAGACTCTTTCCAAACTTCTCTATGAAAAGAAAGGTTAATCTCCGTGAGTTGCACGCACACATCACAAAGTAGATTCTGAGAACGATTCTGTCTAGTTTTTATACGAAGATATTTCCTTTTCTACCATTGGCCTCAAATCGCTTGAAATCTTTACTTGCAAAAGCCACGAAAAGAGCGTTTCAAATCTGCTCTGTCTAAAGAAAGGTTCAAATCTGTGAGTTGAATACACACAACACAAAGTAGTTACTGAAAATGCTTCGGTCTAGCAGTATATGGAGAAATCCCGTTTCCAACGAAGGGCTCAAAGAAGTCCAAATATCCACTTGCAGACTTTACAAAAATAGTGTTTCCAAACTGCTCAATTAAAAGAAAGGTTAAACTCTGTGAGTGGAACGCACACATCACAAAGTAGTTTCTGAGAATGATTTTGTCTAGTTTTCATACGAAGATATTTCCTTTTCTACCATTGTCCTCGAAGAGCTTGAAATCTGTACTAGCAAATTACACAAGTAGAGTGTTTCAAATGTGCTCTCTCTAAAGGAAGGTTCAAATCTCTGAGTTGAATGCACACAACACAAAGAAGTGACTGAGAATACTTCTGTCTAGCATTATAGGAAGAAATCCCGTTTCCAACGAAGGCCTCAAAGAGGTCCAAATATCCACTTGCAGACTTTACAAATAGAGTGTTTCCAAACTGCTCTATGAAAAGAAAGGTTAAACTCTGTGAGTTGAACGCACACATCACAAGGTAGTATCTCAGAATGACACTGTCTAGTTTTTATACAAAGATATTTCCATTTCTAAGACTGGCCTCAAATCCCTAGAAATCTCCATTGGAAATTGCACAAACAGAGTGTTTGAAAACTGCTCTTTCTAAAGGAAGGTTCAACTCTGTTAGTTGAATACACACAACACAAACAAGTTACTGAGAATTCTTCTATCTAGCATTATATGAAGAAATCCCGTTTCCAACGAAGGCCTCAAAGAGGTCCAAATATCCTACTGCAGACTTTACAAAGAGAGTGTTTCCAAACTGCTCAATTAAAAGAAAGGTTAAAGTCTGTGAGTGGAACGCACACATCACAAAGTAGTTTCTGAGAATGATTTTGTCTAGTTTTAATACAAAGATATTTCCTTTCCTACCATTGTCCTCGAAGAGCTTGAAATCTGCACTAGCAAATTACACAAAAAGAGTGTTTCAAATGTGCTCTCTCTAAAGGAAGGTTCAAATCTCTGAGTTGAATGCACACAACACAAAGAAGTGACTGGGAATTCTTCTGTCTAGCATTATAGGAGGAAATCCCGTTTCCAACGAAGGCCTCAAAGAGGTCCTAATATCCACTTGCAGACTTTACAAAGACAGCGTTTCCAAACTGCTCTATGAAAAGAAACGTTAAACTCTGTGAGTTGAACGCACACATCACAAACTAGTTTCTGCGAATGATTCTGTGTAGTTTTAATTCGAAGATATTTCCATTTCTAAGATTGGCCTCAAATCCCTTGAAATCTCCACTTGCAAATTCCACAAAAAGAGTGTTTCAAAACTGCTCTGAATATAGGAAGGTTCAACTCTGTGAGTTGAATGCACACAACAGAAAGTAGTAACAGAATTCTTCTGTCGGGCAGTATATGAAGAAATCCCGTTTGCAACGAAGGCCTCACAGAAATCTAAATATCCACTTGCAGACTTTACAGACAGACTCTTTCCAAACTTCTCTATGAAAAGAAAGGTTAATCTCCGTGAGTTGCACGCACACATCACAAAGTAGATTCTGAGAACGATTCTGCCTAGTTTTTATACGAAGATATTTCCTTTTCTACCATTGGCCTCAAATCGCTTGAAATCTTTACTTGCAAAAGCCACGAAAAGAGCGTTTCAAATCTGCTCTGTCTAAAGAAAGGTTCAAATCTGTGAGTTGAATACGCACAACACAAAGTAGTTACTGAAAATTCTTCGGGCTAGCAGTATATGGAGAAATCCCGTTTCCAAAGAAGGCCTGAAAGAGGTCCAAATATCCGCTTGCAGACTTTACAAAAAGAGTGTTTCCAAACTGCTCTATGAAAAGAAAGTTTAAAATCTGTGAGTTGAACGCACAAATCACAGAGCAGTTTCTGAGAATTGTTCTGTCTAGTTTTTATACGAAGATATTTCCTTTTCTACAATTGGCCTCAAATCGCTTGAAATCTCCACTTGCAAAAGCAACGAAAGGAGAGTTTCAAATCTGCTCGGTCTAAAGAAAGGTTCAACGCTGTGAATTGAATACACACAACCCAAAGAAGTTACTGAGAATTCTTTGGTCTAGCAGTATATGAAGAAATCCCGTTTCCAACGAAGGCCTCAAAAAGGTCCAAATATCTGCTTGCAGACTTTACAAAGAGAGTGCTTCCAACCTGCTCTATGAAAAGAAAGGTTAAACTCTGTGAGTTGAACGCACACATCACAAAGAAGCTTCTGAGAATGATTCTGTTTAGTTATTATACGAAGATATTTTCTTTCCTACCATTGGCCTCCAATGACTTGAAATCTCCTCTGGCAAAAGCCACGAAAAGAGAGTATCAAATCTGCTCTGTCTAAAGAAAAGTTCAACTCTGTGAGTTGAATACACACAGCACAAAGAAGTTACTGAGTATTCTTCTGTCTAGCATTATATGAAGAAGTCCCGTTTCCAACGAAGGGCTCAAAGAGCTCCAAATATCCACTTGGAGACTTTACAAAGAGAGCGTTTCCAAACTGCTCTATGAAATGAAACGTTAAACTCTGTGAGTTGAACGCAAACATCACAAACTAGTTTCTGCGAACGATTCTGTGTAGTTTTAATTCGAAGATATTTCCATTTCTAAGATTGGCCTCAAATCCCTTGAAATCTCCACTTGCAAATTCCACAAAAAGAGTGTTTCAAAACTGCTCCGAATAAAGGAAGGTTCAGCTCCGTGAGTTGAATGCACACAACACAAATAGTTACTGAGAATTCTTCTGTCTGTGAGTATATGAAGAAATCCCGTTTGCAACGAAGGCCTCACAGAAATCTAAATATCCACTTGCAGACCTTACAGACAGAGTCTTTCCAAACTGCTCTATGAAAAGAAAGGTTAATCTCCGTGAGTTGCACGCACACATCACAAAGTAATTTCTGAGAATGATTCTCTCTAGTTTTTATACGAAGATATTTCCTTTTCTACCATTGGCCTCAAATCGTTTGAAACCTCCACATGCAAAAGCCACGAGAAGAGCGTTTCAAATCTGCTCTGTCTAAAGAAAGGTTCAAATCTGTGAGTTGAATACACACAACACAAAGTAGTTACTGAAAATGCTTCGGTCTAGCAGTATATGGAGAAATCCCGTTTCCAACGAAGGGCTCAAAGAAGTCCAAATATCCACTTGCAGACTTTACAAAAATAGTGTTTCCAAACTGCTCAATTAAAAGAAAGGTTAAACTCTGTGAGTGGAACGCACACATCACAAAGTAGTTTCTGAGAATGATTTTGTCTAGTTTTCATACGAAGATATATCCTTTTCTACCATTGTCCTCGAAGAGCTTGAAATCTGCACTAGCAAATTACACAGAAAGAGTGTTTCAAATGTGCTCTCTCTAAAGGAAGGTTCAAATCTCTGAGTTGAATGCACACAACACAAAGAAGTGACTGAGAATACTTCTGTCTAGCATTATAGGAAGAAATCCCGTTTCCAACGAAGGCCTCAAAGAGGTCCAAATATCCACTTGCAGACTTTACAAATAGAGTGTTTCCAAACTGCTCTATGAAAAGAAAGGTTAAACTCTGTGAGTTGAACGCACACATCACAAGGTAGTATCTCAGAATGACACTGTCTAGTTTTTATACAAAGATATTTCCATTTCTAAGACTGGCCTCAAATCCCTAGAAATCTCCATTGGAAATTGCACAAACAGAGTGTTTGAAAACTGCTCTTTCTAAAGGAAGGTTCAACTCTGTTAGTTGAATACACACAACACAAACAAGTTACTGAGAATTCTTCTATCTAGCATTATATGAAGAAATCCCGTTTCCAACGAAGGCCTCAAAGAGGTCCAAATATCCTACTGCAGACTTTACAAAGAGAGTGTTTCCAAACTGCTCAATTAAAAGAAAGGTTAAAGTCTGTGAGTGGAACGCACACATCACAAAGTAGTTTCTGAGAATGATTTTGTCTAGTTTTAATACAAAGATATTTCCTTTCCTACCATTGTCCTCGAAGAGCTTGAAATCTGCACTAGCAAATTACACAAAAAGAGTGTTTCAAATGTGCTCTCTCTAAAGGAAGGTTCAAATCTCTGAGTTGAATGCACACAACACAAAGAAGTGACTGGGAATTCTTCTGTCTAGCATTATAGGAGGAAATCCCGTTTCCAACGAAGGCCTCAAAGAGGTCCTAATATCCACTTGCAGACTTTACAAAGACAGCGTTTCCAAACTGCTCTATGAAAAGAAACGTTAAACTCTGTGAGTTGAACGCACACATCACAAACTAGTTTCTGCGAATGATTCTGTGTAGTTTTAATTCGAAGATATTTCCATTTCTAAGATTGGCCTCAAATCCCTTGAAATCTCCACTTGCAAATTCCACAAAAAGAGTGTTTCAAAACTGCTCTGAATATAGGAAGGTTCAACTCTGTGAGTTGAATGCACACAACAGAAAGTAGTAACTGAGAATTCTTCTGTCAGGCAGTATATGAAGAAATCCCGTTTGCGACGAAGGCCTCACAGAAATCTAAATATCCACTTGCAGACCTTACAGACAGACTCTTTCCAAACTTCTCTATGAAAAGAAAGGTTAATCTCCGTGAGTTGCACGCACACATCACAAAGCAGATTCTGAGAATGATTCTGTCTAGTTTTTATACGAAGCTATTTCCTTTTCTACCATTGGCCTCAAATCGCTTGAAATCTTTACTTGCAAAAGCCACGAAAAGAGCGTTTCAAATCTGCTCTGTCTAAAGAAAGGTTCAAATCTGTGAGTTGAATACACACAACACAAAGTAGTTACTGAAAATTCTTCGGGCTAGCAGTATATGGAGAAATCCCTTTTCCAAAGAAGGCCTGAAAGAGGTCCAAATATCCGCTTGCAGACTTTACAAAAAGAGTGTTTCCAAACTGCTCTATGAAAAGAAAGTTTAAAATCTGTGAGTTGAACGCACAAATCACAGAGCAGTTTCTGAGAATTGTTCTGTCTAGTTTTTATACGAAGATATTTCCTTTTCTACAATTGGCCTCAAATCGCTTGAAATCTCCACTTGCAAAAGCAACGAAAGGAGAGTTTCAAATCTGCTCGGTCTAAAGAAAGGTTCAACTCTGTGAATTGAATACACACAACCCAAAGAAGTTACTGAGAATTCTTTGGTCTAGCAGTATATGAAGAAATCCCGTTTCCAACGAAGGCCTCAAAAAGGTCCAAATATCTGCTTGCAGACTTTACAAAGAGAGTGCTTCCAACCTGCTCTATGAAAAGAAAGGTTAAACTCTGTGAGTTGAACGCACACATCACAAAGAAGTTTCTGAGAATGATTCTGTTTCGTTATTATACGAAGATATTTTCTTTTCTACCATTGGCCTCCAATGACTTGAAATCTCCTCTGGCAAAAGCCACGAAAAGAGAGTATCAAATCTGCTCTGTCTAAAGAAAAGTTCAACTCTGTGAGTTGAATACACACAGCACAAAGAAGTTACTGAGTATTCTTCTGTCTAGCATTATATGAAGAAGTCCCGTTTCCAACGAAGGGCTCAAAGAGCTCCAAATATCCACTTGGAGACTTTACAAAGAGAGCGTTTCCAAACTGCTCTATGAAAAGAAACGTTAAACACTGTGAGTTGAACGCACACATCACAAACTAGTTTCTGCGAACGATTCTGTGTTGTTTTAATTCGAAGATATTTCCATTTCTAAGATTGGCCTCAAATCCCTTGAAATCTCCACTTGCAAATGCCACAAAAAGAGTGTTTCAAAACTGCTCTGAATAAAGGAAGGTTGAACTCCGTGAGTTGAATGCACACAGCACAAATAGTTACTGAGATTTCTTCTGTCTGTGAGTATATGAAGAAATCCCGTTTGCAACGAAGGCCTCACAGAAATCTAAATATCCACTTGCAGACCTTACAGACAGAGTCTTTCCAACCTGCTCTATGAAAAGAAAGGTTAATCTCCGTGAGTTGCACGCACACATCACAAAGTAATTTCTGAGAATGATTCTCTCTAGTTTTTATACGAAGAAATTTCCTTTTCTACCATTGGCCTCAAATCGTTTGAAACCTCCACATGCAAAAGCCACGAGAAGAGCGTTTCAAATCTGCTCTGTCTAAAGAAAGGTTCAAATCTGTGACTTGAATACACACAACACAAAGTAGTTACTGAAAATGCTTCTGTCTAGCAGTATATGGAGAAATCCCGTTTCCAACGAAGGGCTCAAAGAAGTCCAAATATCCACTTGCAGACTTTAAAAAAATAGTGTTTCCAAACTGCTCAATTAAAAGAAAGGTTAAACTCTGTGAGTGGAACGCACACATCACAAAGTAGTTTCTGAGAATGATTTTGTCTAGTTTTCATACGAAGATATTTCCTTTTCTACCATTGTCCTCGAAGAGCTTGAAATCTGCACTAGGAAATTACACAGAAAGAGTGTTTCAAATGTGCTCTCTCTAAAGGAAGGTTCAAATCTCTGAGTTGAATGCACACAACACAAAGAAGTGACTGAGAATACTTCTGTCTAGCATTATAGGAAGAAATCCCGTTTCCAACGAAGGCCTCAAAGAGGTCCAAATATCCACTTGCAGACTTTACAAATAGAGTGTTTCCAAACTGCTCTATGAAAAGAAAGGTTAAACTCTGTGAGTTGAACGCACACATCACAAGGTAGTATCTCAGAATGACACTGTCTAGTTTTTATACAAAGATATTTCCATTTCTAAGACTGGCCTCAAATCCCTAGAAATCTCCATTGGAAATTGCACAAACAGAGTGTTTGAAAACTGCTCTTTCTAAAGGAAGGTTCAACTCTGTTAGTTGAATACACACAACACAAACAAGTTACTGAGAATTCTTCTATCTAGCATTATAAGAAGAAATCCCGTTTCCAACGAAGGCCTCAAAGAGGTCCAAATATCCTACTGCAGACTTTACAAAGAGAGTGTTTCCAAACTGCTCAATTAAAAGAAAGGTTAAAGTCTGTGAGTGGAACGCACACATCACAAAGTAGTTTCTGAGAATGATTTTGCCTAGTTTTAATACGAAGATATTTCCTTTCCTACCATTGTCCTCGAAGAGCTTGAAATCTGCCCTAGCAAATTACACAAAAAGAGTGTTTCAAATGTGCTCTCTCTAAAGGAAGGTTCAAATCTCTGAGTTGAATGCACACAACACAAAGAAGTGACTGGGAATTCTTCTGTCTAGCATTATAGGAGGAAATCCCGTTTCCAACGAAGGCCTCAAAGAGGTCCTAATATCCACTTGCAGACTTTACAAAGACAGCGTTTCCAAACTGCTCTATGAAAAGAAACGTTAAACTCTGTGAGTTGAACGCACACATCACAAACTAGTTTCTGCGAATGATTCTGTGTAGTTTTAATTCGAAGATATTTCCATTTCTAAGATTGGCCTCAAATCCCTTGAAATCTCCACTTGCAAATTCCACAAAAAGAGTGTTTCAAAACTGCTCTGAATATAGGAAGGTTCAACTCTGTGAGTTGAATGCACACAACAGAAAGTAGTAACTGAGAATTCTTCTGTCAGGCAGTATATGAAGAAATCCCGTTTGCGACGAAGGCCTCACAGAAATCTAAATATCCACTTGCAGACCTTACAGACAGACTCTTTCCAAACTTCTCTATGAAAAGAAAGGTTAATCTCCGTGAGTTGCACGCACACATCACAAAGCAGATTCTGAGAATGATTCTGTCTAGTTTTTATACGAAGCTATTTCCTTTTCTACCATTGGCCTCAAATCGCTTGAAATCTTTACTTGCAAAAGCCACGAAAAGAGCGTTTCAAATCTGCTCTGTCTAAAGAAAGGTTCAAATCTGTGAGTTGAATACACACAACACAAAGTAGTTACTGAAAATTCTTCGGGCTAGCAGTATATGGAGAAATCCCTTTTCCAAAGAAGGCCTGAAAGAGGTCCAAATATCCGCTTGCAGACTTTACAAAAAGAGTGTTTCCAAACTGCTCTATGAAAAGAAAGTTTAAAATCTGTGAGTTGAACGCACAAATCACAGAGCAGTTTCTGAGAATTGTTCTGTCTAGTTTTTATACGAAGATATTTCCTTTTCTACAATTGGCCTCAAATCGCTTGAAATCTCCACTTGCAAAAGCAACGAAAGGAGAGTTTCAAATCTGCTCGGTCTAAAGAAAGGTTCAACTCTGTGAATTGAATACACACAACCCAAAGAAGTTACTGAGAATTCTTCGGTCTAGCAGTATATGAAGAAATCCCGTTTCCAACGAAGGCCTCAAAAAGGTCCAAATATCTGCTTGCAGACTTTACAAAGAGAGTGCTTCCAACCTGCTCTATGAAAAGAAAGGTTAAACTCTGTGAGTTGAACGCACACATCACAAAGAAGTTTCTGAGAATGATTCTGTTTCGTTATTATACGAAGATATTTTCTTTTCTACCATTGGCCTCCAATGACTTGAAATCTCCTCTGGCAAAAGCCACGAAAAGAGAGTATCAAATCTGCTCTGTCTAAAGAAAAGTTCAACTCTGTGAGTTGAATACACACAGCACAAAGAAGTTACTGAGTATTCTTCTGTCTAGCATTATATGAAGAAGTCCCGTTTCCAACGAAGGGCTCAAAGAGCTCCAAATATCCACTTGGAGACTTTACAAAGAGAGCGTTTCCAAACTGCTCTATGAAAAGAAACGTTAAACACTGTGAGTTGAACGCACACATCACAAACTAGTTTCTGCGAACGATTCTGTGTTGTTTTAATTCGAAGATATTTCCATTTCTAAGATTGGCCTCAAATCCCTTGAAATCTCCACTTGCAAATTCCACAAAAAGAGTGTTTCAAAACTGCTCTGAATAAAGGAAGGTTGAACTCCGTGAGTTGAATGCACACAGCACAAATAGTTACTGAGATTTCTTCTGTCTGTGAGTATATGAAGAAATCCCGTTTGCAACGAAGGCCTCACAGAAATCTAAATATCCACTTGCAGACCTTACAGACAGAGTCTTTCCAACCTGCTCTATGAAAAGAAAGGTTAATCTCCGTGAGTTGCACGCACACATCACAAAGTAATTTCTGAGAATGATTCTCTCTAGTTTTTATACGAAGAAATTTCCTTTTCTACCATTGGCCTCAAATCGTTTGAAACCTCCACATGCAAAAGCCACGAGAAGAGCGTTTCAAATCTGCTCTGTCTAAAGAAAGGTTCAAATCTGTGACTTGAATACACACAACACAAAGTAGTTACTGAAAATGCTTCTGTCTAGCAGTATATGGAGAAATCCCGTTTCCAACGAAGGGCTCAAAGAAGTCCAAATATCCACTTGCAGACTTTAAAAAAATAGTGTTTCCAAACTGCTCAATTAAAAGAAAGGTTAAACTCTGTGAGTGGAACGCACACATCACAAAGTAGTTTCTGAGAATGATTTTGTCTAGTTTTCATACGAAGATATTTCCTTTTCTACCATTGTCCTCGAAGAGCTTGAAATCTGCACTAGGAAATTACACAGAAAGAGTGTTTCAAATGTGCTCTCTCTAAAGGAAGGTTCAAATCTCTGAGTTGAATGCACACAACACAAAGAAGTGACTGAGAATACTTCTGTCTAGCATTATAGGAAGAAATCCCGTTTCCAACGAAGGCCTCAAAGAGGTCCAAATATCCACTTGCAGACTTTACAAATAGAGTGTTTCCAAACTGCTCTATGAAAAGAAAGGTTAAACTCTGTGAGTTGAACGCACACATCACAAGGTAGTATCTCAGAATGACACTGTCTAGTTTTTATACAAAGATATTTCCATTTCTAAGACTGGCCTCAAATCCCTAGAAATCTCCATTGGAAATTGCACAAACAGAGTGTTTGAAAACTGCTCTTTCTAAAGGAAGGTTCAACTCTGTTAGTTGAATACACACAACACAAACAAGTTACTGAGAATTCTTCTATCTAGCATTATAAGAAGAAATCCCGTTTCCAACGAAGGCCTCAAAGAGGTCCAAATATCCTACTGCAGACTTTACAAAGAGAGTGTTTCCAAACTGCTCAATTAAAAGAAAGGTTAAAGTCTGTGAGTGGAACGCACACATCACAAAGTAGTTTCTGAGAATGATTTTGCCTAGTTTTAATACGAAGATATTTCCTTTCCTACCATTGTCCTCGAAGAGCTTGAAATCTGCCCTAGCAAATTACACAAAAAGAGTGTTTCAAATGTGCTCTCTCTAAAGGAAGGTTCAAATCTCTGAGTTGAATGCACACAACACAAAGAAGTGACTGGGAATTC